>NC_000007.14:61967063-61976104 GCF_000001405.40 Homo sapiens | reverse complement strand
TTCCTTTTCTACTGTTGGCATCAAATCGCTAGAAATCTCCACTTGCAAATTCCACAAAAAGAGTGTTTCAAATCTGCTCTGTGCAAAGGGACGTTCCACTCTGTGAGTTGAATACACACAACACAAAGAAGTTACTGAGAATTCTTCTGTCTAGCATGAAATGAAGAAATCCCGTTTCCAACGAAGGCCTCAATGCGGTCCATATATCCACTTGCAGACTTTACCAACAGAGTGTTTCCAAACTGCTCTATGAAAAGAAAGGTTAAACTATGTGAGTTGAACGCACACATCACAAAGAATTTTCTGAGGATGATTCTGTCTAGTTTTTATTTGAAGATATTTCCCTTTCTACTGTTGGCATCAAATGGCTAGAAATCTCCACCTGCAAATTCCGCAAAAAGAGTGTTTCAAATCTGCTCTGTCTAAAGGGACGTTCCACTCTGTGAGTTGAATGCACACAACACAAAGAAGTTACTGAGAATTCTTCCGTCTAGCATGAAATGAAGAAATCCCGTTTCCAACGAAGGCCTCAAACAGGTCCATATATCCACTTGCAGACTTTACAAACAGAGTGTTTCCAAACTCCTCTATGAAAAGAAAGGTTAAACTATGTGAGTTGAACGCACACATCACAAAGAACTTTCTGAGAATGATTCTGTCTGGTTTTTATTTGAAGATATTTCCCTTTCTACTGTTGGCATCAAATCGCAAGAAATCTCCACTTGCAAATTCCACAAAAAGAGTGTTTCAAATCTGCTCTGTCTAAAAGGACGTTCCACTCTGTGAGTTGAATGCACACAACACAAAGAATTTACTGAGAATTCTTCCATCTAGCATTAAATGAAAAAAGCCCGTTTCCAAAGAAGGCCTCAAACAGGTCCAAATATCCAATTACAGACATAACAAACAGTGTGTTTCCAAACTCCTCTATGAAAAGAAAGGTTAAACTCTGTGAGTTGAACGCACACATCACAAAGCACTTTCTGAGAATGATTCTGTCTAGTTTTTATATGAAGATATTTCCTTTTCTACTATTGGCATCAAATCGCTTGAAATCTCCACCTGAAAATTCCACAAAAAGAGTGTTTCAAATCTGCTCTCTGTAAAGGGACGTTCCAATCTGTGAGTTGAATACACACAACACAAAAAAGTTACTGAGAATTCTTCTGTCTAGCATGAAATGAAGAAATCCCGTTTCCAACGAAGGCCTCAATGCGGTCCATATATCCACTTACAGACTTTACCAACAGAGTGTTTCCAAACTGCTCTATGAAAAGAAAGGTTAAACTATGTGAGTTGAACGCACACATCACAAAGAATTTTCTGAGAATGATTCTGTCTAATTTTTATTTGAAGATATTTCCCTTTCTATTGTTGGCATCAAATGGCTTGAAATCTCCACTTCCAAATTTCGCAAAAAGAGTGTTTCAAATCTGCTCTGTCTAAAGGGACGTTCCACTCGGTGAGTTGAATGCACACAACACAAAGAGTTTACTGAGAATTCTTCTGTCTAGCATTCAATGAAGAAATCCCGTTTCCAAGGAATGCCTCAAAGCGGTACATATATCCACTTGCAGATTTTACAAACAGTGTGTTTCGAAACTGCTCTATGAAAAGAAAGGTTAAACTATGTGAGCTGAACGCACACATCACAAAGAATTTTCTGAGAATGATTCTGTCTAATTTTTATTTGAAGATATTTCCTTTCCAACTTTTGGCATCAAATCGCTTGAATTCTCCACTTTTAAATTCCACAAAAAGAGTGTTTCAAAACTGCTCTGTGTAATGGGACATTCCAATCTGTCAGTTGAATACACACAACACAAAGAAGTTACTGAGAATTCTTCTGTCTAGCATGAAATTAAGAAATCCCGTTTCCAACGAAGTCCTCAAAGCGGTCCATATATCCACTTGCAGACATTACCAACAGAGTGTTTCCAGACTGGTCTATGAAAAGAAAGGTTAAACTATGTGAGTTGAACGCACACATCACAAAGAATTTTCTGAGGATGATTCTGTCTAGTTTTTATTTGAAGATATTTCCCTTTCTACCGTTGGCATCAAATGGCTAGAAATCTCCACTTGCAAATTCCGCAAAAAGAGTGTTTCAAATCTGCTCTGTCTAAAGGGACGTTCCACTCTGTGAGTTGAATGCACACAACACAAAGAATTTACTGAGAATTCTTCCGTCTAGCATTCAATGAAGAAATCCCGTTTCCAACGGAGGCCTCAAACAGGTCCATATATCCACTTGCAGACTTTACAAACAGTGTGTTTCCAAACTCCTCTATGAAAAGAAAGGTTAAACTCTGTGAGTTGAACGCACACATCACAAAGCACTTTCTGAGAATGATTCTGTCTGGTTTTTATTTGAAGATATTTCCTTTTCTACTGTTGTCATCAAATCGCTTGAAATCTCCATTTGCAAATTCCAGACAAAGAGTGTTTCAAATCTGCTCTGTCTAAAAGGACGTTCCACTCTGTGAGTTGAATGCAGACAACACAAAGAATTTACTGAGAATTCTTCCATCTAGCATTATATGAAAAAAGCCCGTTTCCAAAGAAGGCCTCAAACAGGTCCAAATATCCACTTACAGACATAACAAACAGTGTGTTTCCAAACTGCTCTATGAAAAGGAAGGTTAAACTCTGTGAGTTGAACGCACACATAAGAAAGCACTTGCTGAGAATGATTCTCTCTGGTTTTTATACGAAGATATTTCCTTTTCTGCAATTGTCCTCAAATCGCTTGAAATCTCCACCTGAAAATTCCACAGCAAGAGTATATCAAATCTGCTCTCTCTAAAGCAAGGTTCAACTCTGTGAGTTGAATACACACAACTCAAAGAAGTTACTGAGAATTCTTCTGTCTAGCATTAAACGAAGAAATCCCGTTTCCAACGAAGGTCTCAAAGCGGTCCATATATCCACTTGCAGACTTTACAAACAGAGTTTTTCCAAACTGCTCTATGAAAAGAAAGGCTAAACTCTGTGTTTTCAATGCACACATCACAAAGCACTTTCTGAGAATGATTCTGTCTGGTTTTTATACGAAGATATTTCATTTTCTGCAATTGTCCTCAAATCGCTTGAAATCTCCACCTGAGAATGCCACAGCAAGAGTGTTTCAAATCTGCTCTCTCGAAAGCAAGGTTCAACTCTGTGAGTTGAATACACACAACACAAAAAAGTTACTGAGAACTCTTCTTAGTCTAGCATGAAATGAAGAAATCCCGTTTGCAACGAAGGCCTCAAAGAGGTCCAAATATCCACTTGCAGACTTTACAAACAGTGTGTTTCCAGACTGCTCTATTAGAAGAAATGCTAAACTCTGTGAGTTGAACGCACACATCACAAACACTTTCTGAGAATGATTCTGTCTGGTTTTATACGAAGATATTTCCTTTTCTGCAATTGTCCTCAAATCGCTTGAAATCTCCAACTGAAAATTCCACAGCAAGAGTGTTTCAAATCTCCTCTCTCTAAAGCAAAGTTCAACACTGTGTGTTGAATACACACAACACAAAAAAGTTACTGAGAACTATCCTTAGTCTAGCAATAAATGAAGAAATCCCGTTTGCAACGAAGGCCTCAAAGAGTTCCAAATATCCACTTGCAGACATTACAAGCAGAGTGTTTCTAAACTGCTCTCAGAAAAGAATGGTTAAACTCTGTGAGTTGAAGGCACACATCACAAAGTAGTTTCTGAGAATGATTCTGTCTAGTTTTTATTTAAGATATTTCCATTTCTACAGTTGGCATCAAGTCGCTTGAAATCTCCCCTTGCAAATTCACAAAAAGAGTGTTTCAAATCTGCTCTGTCTAAAGGGACGTTCCACTCTGTGAGTTGAATACACACAACACAAAGAAGTTACTGAGAATTCTTCTGTCTAGCATTAAATGAAGAAATCCCGTTTCCAACGAAGGCCTCTAAGCGGTCCATATATCTACTTGCAGATTTTACAAACAGTGTGTTTCCAAACTGCTCTATGAAAAGAAAGGTTGAACTATGTGAGCTGAAAGCACACTTCACAAAGAATTTTGTGAGAATGATTCTGTCTAGTTTTTATTTGAAGATATTTCCTTTTCTACTGCTGGCATCAAATCGCTTGAAATCTCCACTTGCAAATTCCACAAAAAGAGTGTTTCAAATCTGCTCTGCGTAAAGGGACGTTCCACTCTGTGAGTTGAATACACACAACACAAAGAAGTTACTGAGAATTTTTCTGTCTAGCATTAAATGAAGAAATCCCGTTTCCAACGAAGGCCTCAAAGCGGTCCACATATCCACTTGCAGACATTACAAACAGAGTGTTTCCAAACTGCTCTATGAAAAGAAAGGTTAAACTATGTGAGTTGAACGCACACATCACAAAGAATTTTCTGAATATGATTCTGTCTAGTTTTTATTTGAAGATATTTCCCTTTCTACTGTTGGCATCAAATGGCTTGAAATCGCCACTTGCAAATTCCGCAAAAAGAGTGTTTCAAATCTGCTCTGTCTAAAGGGACGTTCCACTCTGTGAGTTGAATGCACACAACACAAAGAATTTACTGAGAATTCTTCCTTCTAGCATTATATGATAAAATCCCGTTTCCAACGAAAGCCTCAAACAGGTCCAAATATCCACTTCCGGACATACAAATAGTGTGTTTCCATACTGCTTTATGAGAAGAAAGGTTAAACTCTGTGAGTTGAACGCACACATCATAAAGCACTTTCTGAGAATGATTCTGTCTGGTTTTTATACGAAGGTATTTCCTTTTCGGCAGTTGTCCTCAAACGCTTGAAATCTCCACCTTAAAATTGCACAGCAAGAATGTTTCAAATCTGCTCTCTCTATAGCAAGGTTCAACACTCTCTGTTGAATACACACAACACAAAAAAGTTACTGAGAACTCTTCTTATTCTAGCATGAAATGAAGAAATCCCGTTTGCTACGAAGGCCTCCAAGAGGTCCAAATATCCACTTGCAGACATTACAAGCAGAGTGTTTCTAAACTGCTCTAAGAATAGAATGCTTAAATTCTGTGAGTTGAAGGCACACATCAAAAAGTAGTTTCTGAGAATGATTCTTTCTAGTTTTTATTTGAAGATATTTCC
The DNA here is from genome assembly GCF_000001405.40 of Homo sapiens. NCBI lineage: Eukaryota > Metazoa > Chordata > Mammalia > Primates > Hominidae > Homo > Homo sapiens. The sequence goes on along the minus strand of NC_000007.14, from coordinate 61,971,000 downwards.
ATTTCTACTGCTGGCATCAAATCGTTTGAAATCTCCATTTGCAAATTCCAGAAAAAGAGTGTCTCAAATCTGCTCTGTCTAAAGGGACGTTCCACTCTGTGAGTTGAATGCACACAACACAAAGAATTTACTGAGAATTCTTCCGTCTAGCATTATATGAAAAAATCCCGTTTCCAATGAAGACCACAAACAGGTCCAAATATCCACTTGCAGACTTTACAAACAATGTGTTTTCAAACTGCTCTATGAGAAGAAATGCTAAACTCTGTGAGTTGAAGACAAAGATCACAAACACTTTCTGAGAATGATTCTGTCTGGTTTTTATACGAAGATATTACCTTTTCTGCAATTGTCCTCAAATCGCTTGAAATCTCCAACTGAAAATTCCACAGCAAGAATGTTTCAAATCTCCTCTCTCTAAAGCAAGGTTCAAAACTGTGAGTTGAATACACACAACACAAAAAGTTACTGAGAACTCTCCTTAGTCTAGCATTAAATGAAGAAATCCCGTTTGCAATGAAGGCCTCAAAGAGATCCAAATATCCACTTGCAGACAATACAAGCAGAGTGTTTCTAAACTGCTCTAAGAAAAGAAAGGTTAAACTCTGTGAGTTGAAGGCACACATCACAAAGTAGTTTCTTAGAATGATTCTGTCTAGTTTTTATTTGAAGATATTTCCTTTTCTACTGTTGGCATCAAATCGCTTGAAATCTCCACTTGCAAATTCCACAAAAAGAGTGTTTCAAATCTGCTCTGTCTAAAGGGACGTTCCACTCTGTGAGTTGAATACACACAGCACAAAGAAGTTACTGAGAATTCTTCTGTCTAGCATGAAATGAAGAAATCCCGTTTCCAACGAAGGCCTCAATGCGGTCCATATATCCACTTGCAGACTTTACAAACAGAGTGTTTCCAAACTGCTCTATGAAAAGAAAGGTTAAACTACGTGAGTTGAATGCACACATCACAAAGAATTTTCTGAGAATGATTCTGTCTGGTTTTTATACGAAGATATTTCCCTTTCTACTGTTGGCATCAAATGGCTTGAAATCTCCACCTGAAAATTCCACAGCAAGAGTGTTTCAAATCTGCTCTCTCTAAAGCAAGTTTCAACAATGTGAGTTGAATACACACAACACAAAAAAGTCACTGAGAACTCTTCTTAGTCTAGCATTAAATGAAGAAATCCCGTTTGCAACGAAGGCCTCAAAGAGGTCCAAATATCCACTTGCAGACATTGCAAGCAGAGTGTTTCTAAACTGCTCTAAGAAAAGAAATGTTAAACTCTGTGAGTTGATGGCACACATCACAAAGTAGTTTCTGAGAATAATTCTGTCTAGTTTTTATTTAAAGATATTTCCTTTTCTACTGTTGGCATCAAATCGCTTGAAATTTCCACTTGCAAATTCTACAAAAAGAGTGTTTCAAATCTGCTCTGTCTAAAGGGACGTTCCATTCTGTGAGTTGAATACACACAACACAAAGAAATTATTGAGAATTCTTCTGTCTAGCATGAAATGAAGAAATCCCGTTTCCAACGAAGGCCTCAAAGCAGTCCATATATCCACTTGCAGACTTTACAAACAGAGTGTTTCCAAACTGCTCTATGAAAAGAAAGGCTAAACTCTGTGAGTTGAACGCACACATCACAAAGAATTTTCTGAGAATGATTCTGTCTAGTTTTTATTTGAAGATATTTCCCTTTCTACTGTTGGCATCAAAAGGCTTGAAATCTCCATTTCCAAATTCCAGAAAAAGAGTGTTTCAAATCTGCTCTGTCTTTAGGGGGCGTTCCACTCTGTGAGTTGAATGCACACAACACAAAGAATTTACTGAGAATTCTTCTGTCTAGCATGAAATGAAGAAATCACGTTTCCAACGAAGGCCTCAAACAGTTCCAAATATCCACTTGCAGACTTTACAAACAGTGTGTTTCCAAACTGCTCTATGAGAAGAAATGCTATACTCTGTGAGTTGAACGCACACATCACAAACACTTTCTGAGAATGATCCTGTCTGGTTTGTATACGAAGATATTTCCTTTTCTGCAATTGTCCTCAAATCGCTTGAATTCTCCAACTGAAAATTCCACAGCAAGAGTGTTTCAAATCTCCTCTCTCTAAACAAAGTTCAACACTGTGAGTTGAATACACACAACACAAAAAGTTACTGAGAACTCTCCTTAGTCTAGCATTAAATGAAGAAATCCCATTTGCAACGAAGGCCTCAAAGACGTCCTAATATCCACTTGCAGACATTACAAGCAGAGTGTTTCTAAACTGCTCTAAGAAAAGAAAGGTTAAACTCTGTGAGTTGAAGGCACACATCTCAAAGTAATTTCTGAGAATGATTCTGTCTAGTTTTTATTTGAAGATGTTTCCTTTTCTACTGCTGGCATCAAATCGCTTGAAATCTCCACATGCAAATTCCACAAAAAGAGTGTTTCAAATCTGCTCTGTCTAAAGGGACGTTCCACTCTGTGAGTTGAATACACACCACACAAAGAAGTTACTGAGAATTTTTCTGTCTAGCATGAAATGAAGAAATCCCGTTTCCAACGAAGGCCTCAAAGCGGTCCATATATCCACTTGCAGACTTTACAGACGGAGAGTCTCCAAACTGCTCTATGAAAAGAAAGGTTAAACTATGTGAGTTGAACGCACACATCACAAAGAATTTTCTGAGAATGATTCTGTCTAGTTTTTATTTGAAGATATTTCCTTTTCTACTGTTGGCATCAAATCGCTTGAAATCTCCACTTGCAAATTCCACAAAAAGAGTGTTTCAAATCTGCTCTGTCTAAAGGGACGTTGCACTCTGTGAGTTCAATGCACACAACACAAAGAATTTGGGGAGAATTCTTCCGTATAGCATTATATGAAAAAATCCCGTTTCCAACGAAGGCTTCAAACAGGTCCAAATATCCACTTGCAGACTTTACAAACAGTGTGATTCCAAACTGCTCTATGAGAAGAAAGTCTAAACTCTGTGAGTTGAATGCACACATCACAAAGCACTTTCTGAGAATGATTCTGTCTGGTTATTATACGAAGATATTTCCTTTTCTGCAATTGTCCTCAAATCGCTTGAAATCTCCACCTGAAAATTCCACAGCAAGAGTGTTTCAAATCTGCTCCCTCTAAAGCAAGTTTCAACAATGTGAGTTGAATACACACAACACAAAAAAGTCACTGAGAACTCTTCTTAGTCTAGCATTAAATGATGAAATCCCGTTTGCAACGAAGGCCTCAAAGAGGTCCAAATATCCACTTGCAGACATTACAAGCAGAGTGTTTCTAAACTGCTCTAAGAAAAGAAAGGTTAAACTGTATGAGTTGATGGCACACATCACAAAGTAGTTTCTGAGAATAATTCTGTCTGGTTTTTATTTAAAGATATTTCCTTTTCTACTGTTGGCATCAAATCGCTTGAAATCTCCACTGGCAAATTCCACAAAAAGAGTGTTTCAAATCTGCTCTGTCTAAAGGGACATTCCACTCTGTGACTTGAATACACTCAACACAAAGAAATTACTGAGAATTCTTCTGTCTAGCATTAAATGAAGAAATCCCGTTTCCATCTAATGCCTCAAAACTGTCCATATATCCACTTGCAGATTTTACAGTGCTTTTCCAAGCTGCTCTATGAAAAGAAAGGTTTAACTATGTCAGCTGAACGCACTCATCACAAAGAATTTTCTGATAATGATTCTGTCTAGTTTTTATTTGAAGATATTTCCTTTTCTACTGTTGGCATCAAATTGCTTGAAATCTCCACTTGCAAATTCCAGAAAAAGAGTGTTTCAAATCTTCTCTGTCTAAAGGGACGTTCCACTGTGTGAGTTGAATGCACACAACACAAAGAATTTACTGAGAATTCTTCTGTCTAGCATTATATGAAAAAATCCCGTTTCCAACGAAGGCCTCAAACATGTCC
>NC_000007.14:61878020-61964169 GCF_000001405.40 Homo sapiens | reverse complement strand
TGCACTTGCAGACATTACAAACAGACTGTTTCCAAACTGCTCTATGAAAAGAAAGGTTAAACTATGTGAGTTGCACGCACACGTCACAAAGTAGTTTCTGAGAATGATTCTGTCTAATTTTTATACGAAGATATTTCCTTTTCTACCATGGCCCCAAAGCGCTTAAAATCTCCCATTGCAAATTCCACAAAAAGAGTGTTTCAAATCTGCTCTGTGTAAAGGGACGTTCCAATCTGTGAGTTGAATACACACAACACAAAGAGGTTACTGAGAAATCTTCTGTCTAGCATTATATAAAGGAATCCCGTTTCCCACGAAGGCCTCAAAGCGGACGAAATATCCACTTGCAGACTTTACAAATAGAGTGTTTCCAAACTGCTCTATGAAAAGAAAGGTTAAACTCTGTGAGTCGAACCCACACATCACAAAGTAGTTTATGATTATGATTCTGTCTACTTTTTACAAGAAGATATCTCGTTCTCTTTCAGTGTCCTCAAAGCCCTTCAAATCTCCCCTTGCAAATTCCAAAAAAAGAGTGTTTCAATTCTGATCTGTCTAAAGCAAGTTTCAACTCTGTGAGTTGAATACATGCAACACAAAGTAGTTACTGAGAATTCTTATGTCTAGCATTATATGAAGAAATCCCGTTTCCAACGAAGGCCTGAAAGAGGTCCAAATATCCACTTGCAGACTTTACTAACAGAGTGTTTCCAAACTGCTCTATGAATAGAAAGGTTGAACTATGTGAGTTGAAAGCACACGTCACAAAGCAGTTTCTGAGAATGATTCTGTCTAGTTTTTATACGAAGATATTTCCTTTTCTACCATTGGCCAAAAGTTGCTTGAAATCTCCACTTGCAAATTTCACAAAAAGCATGTTTCAATTCTGCTCTGTCTAAATGAATGTTCATATCTGTGAGTTGAATACACACAACACAAAGAAGTTACTGAGAATTCTTCTGTCTAGTAATATATGAAGAAATCCCATTTCCAACGACATCTTCATAGAGGTCCAAATATCCACTTGCAGACTTTAGAAACATTCTTTCTAAACTGCTCTATGAAAAGAAAAGTTTAACTATGTGAGTGGAACGCACTCATCACAAAGAAGTTTCTGAGAATGATTCTGTATAGTGTTTATATGAAGGTATTTCCTTTTCTGCCATTGGCCTCATAGCGCTTGAAATCTCCACTTGCAAATTCCTCTAAAGGAGTGTTTGAAATCTGCTGTCTAAAGGAAGGTTCAGTTCTGTGAGTGGAATACACACAACACAAAGAAGTTACTGAGAAGTCTACTGCCTAGCATTATATGAATTAATCCACTTTCCAACGAAGGCCTCAAAGAGTTCCAAATATCCCCTTGCAGTCTTTACAAACAGAGTGTTTCCATACTTCTCTATGAAAAGAAAGTTTAAACTCTGTGAGTTGAAGGCACACTTCACAGAGTAGTTCCTGAGAATGGTTCTGTCTAGTTTTCATAAGAAGGTATCTCCTTCTCTACCACTGGCCTCAAAGCGCTTGAAATCTCCACTGTCAAATTCCACAAAAAGAGTGTTTCAATTCTGATCTGTCTAAAGCAAGGTTCAACTTTGTGAGTTGAATATACACAACAAAAAGAAGTTAGTGACATTTCTTATGTCTAGTATTATATGAAGAAATCCCGTTTCCAAAGAAGGCCTCAAAGAGGTCCAAATATCCACTTGCAGACTTTACTAACATAGTGTTTCCAAACTGCTCTATGAAAAGAGAGGTTAAACTCAGTGAGTTGAGTGCAGACATCACAAAGTACTTTCTGGGAATGATTCTGTCTAGTTTGTATTTGAAGATATTTCCTTTTGTATGATTGTCCTCAAATCGCTTGAAATCTCCACTTGCAAATTCCACAAAAAGAGTGTTTCAAATGTGCTCTGTCTTATGGAAGATTCATCTCTGTGTGTTGAATACACACAACACAAAGAAGTTACTGAGAATTCTACTGTCTAGCATTATATGAAGAAATCCCGTTTCCAACGAAGGCCACAAAGAGTTCCAAATATCCACTTGCAGACTTTGCAGACTTTTTCCAAACTGCTCTATGAAAGAAAAGTTTAAACTCTGTGAGTTTGAATGCAGACATCACAAAGAAATTTCTGAGAATGATTCTGTCTAGTTTTTATACAAAGATATTTCCTTTTCTACCATTGGCCACAAAGTGCTTGAAATCTTCTATTGCAAATACCACAAAAAGATTGTTTCAAATCTGCTCTGTCTAAAGGAAGGTTCAACTCTGTGACTTGAATACACACAACACAAAGAAGTTACTGAGAATTCTTCTGTCTAGCATTATATGAAGAAATCCCGTTTCCAACGAAGGCCACACAGAGGTCCAAATATCCACTTGCAGACTTACAAACAGAGTGTTTCCAAACTGCTCTATGAAAAGAAAGGTTAAACTCTGTGAGTTGAATGCACACATCACAAATTAGTCTCTGAGAATGATTCTGTCTAGGTTTTAAATAAGATATTACCTTTTCTACCATTGGCCTCAAAGCGCTTGAAATCTCCACCTGAAAATTCCACAAAAAGTGTGTTTCAAATCTGCTCTGTCTAAAGGAAGTTTCAACTCTTGTAGCTGAATACACACAAACAAAGAATTTCCTGAGAATTATTCTGTCTAGCATCATATGAAGAATTCCCTTTTCCAACGAAGGCCTCAAAGAGGTCCATATAACCACTTGCAGATTCTGCAAAAAGGATGTTTCAAAACCGCTCTTTCAAAAGGAAAGTTGAACTCTGTGAGTTGAATGCAAACATCACAAGTTATTTTCTCAAAATGCTTCTGTCTAGTTTTTATGGTAAGATATATCCTTTTCTACCATAGTCCTCAAAGTCCTCTAAATACACCCTTGCAAATTCTCCAAACAGTGTGTTTCAAAACTGCTCTATGGAAAGAAAGGTGAAACTCTGTGAGTTGAACGCACAGATCACAACGTGGTTTCTGAGAATGATTCTGTCTAGTTTTTGCGTGAAGATATTTCATTGTCTACCATTGGCTTCAAAGCACTCTAAGTATGCACTTGAAAGTTCTACCAAAAGAATGTTTGAAAACTGCTCTCTCGAAAGTAAGGTGCAACTCTGTGAGTTGAATGCACACATCACAAAGAAGTTTCTCAGAATTCTTCTGTCTAGTTTTGTATGAAGAGTTCCCGTTTCCAACGAAGGCCTCAAAGAGGTCCAAATATCCACTTGCAGACTTTACAAACAGAGTGTTTCCCAACTGCTCTATGAAGAGAAAGGTTAAACTCTGTGAGTTGAACGCACACATCACAAAGTATTTTCTGAGAATGATTCTGTCTAGTTTTTATATGAAGATATTTCCTTTTCTACCACTGGCTTCAAAGCGCTTGATACCTCCACCTGAAAATTCCGCAAAAAGAGTGTTTCAAATCTGCTCTGTCTAAAGAAAGGTTCAACTCTGGGAGTTGAGTAGACACAACACAAAGAAGTTACTGAGATTTCTTCTGTCTAGCATTATATGAAGAAATTCCGTTTCCAACGAAGGCCTCAAAGAGGTGCAAATTTCCACTTGCAGTTTCTGCAAAAAGAGTTTTTCAAAACTGTTGAATCAAAAGAAAGTTTTAACTCTTTGATATGAATGTACCCATTACAACACAGTTTCACAGATAGCTTCTTTATACTTTTTATTTGGGGATGTTCTGTTTTTTCCCGTTGGCCTCCAAGGGCTCCAAATGTCCCTTTGCAGATTCCACAGAAAGGGTCTATCCAATCTGCTGACACAAAAGAGAGTTTTAACTCTCTTAGGTGAATCCCGACATTACAAAGCAGTTTCACAGATAGCTTCTTTCTATTTTTTATCTTGGGATAATCAATTTTGCCCCAGGCTTCAATGAGCTTCAAAATGTCCCTTTGCAGAATCTCCAAAAAATGTTTTCCAACCTGCTGAATCAAAAGAAAGGTTTAAATTTGTAAGATGAATCCACATAACCCAAACATTTTCAGGGAGGGCTTCTTTCTAGTTTTTATCTGTGGATATTCAGTTTTTCCCAGTAGGCCACATTTGGCTCCCAAATGTCCCTCTATATATTCTTTGAAAAGAGTTTTCCCAACCTACTGAATCAAAAGAAAGCTTTAACGCTATGAGATTAATCCGTACACCCCAAATCAGTTTCATGTATAGCTTCTTTCTAATTTTTATCTAGGGATATTCAGATTTTTCCTATAGGCCTCAATGGAATCCCCAATATTTGTTCACAGATCCTCCAAAAACAGTGTTTCCAAGCTGTTGAATTAAAAGAAAGTTATAACTCTGTGAGATGAATCAACACATCACAGAGCAGTTTCACAGATATCTTCTTCCTAGTTTTAATGTAAGTATATTTGGTTTTTCCTCATAGGCTTCAATGGGCTCCCAAATGTCTCTTCACAGTTTCTCCAAATACTGTTTCCAACCTGCTGAATCAAAAGACAGGTTTAACGTTATGAGATGAATCCAGAAACCACAAAGCAGTTTCACTCTTAGTTTCTTTCTTGTATTTATCTAGGGATATTTCATTTTGCCTCATAGGTCTCAGTGGGTTCCCAAATGTCCCTTCTCAGATTCTACAAAAAGTGTGTTTCACACCTGCTGAATAAAAAGAAAGGTTTAATTCTGTTTAATGAATCCACACATCACAAAGAAATTTCACAGGTAGCTTCTTTCAAGTTTTTATCTGGGGAAATATGATTTTTCCACATAGGCCTCAATGGGCTCTCAAATATCTCTTCACAGTTTCTGCAAAAAAAAATTTTTCACCTGCTGATTCCATAAAAGAGTTTTAAATCTGTGAGATGAATGCCCACCTAACAAAGGAATTTTACAGATAGCTTCTTTCTACTGTTTATCTGGCGATATTTGGTTTTTCCCCTAAGCCACAATGGACTCCCAAATGTCCATTGAATATTTCCTCAATTAGAGTAACTCCAGCCTACTGAATGAAAAGAAAACTTTAATTTTGTGAGATGAGCAGCACATCTCAACGCAGCTTCACAGATTGCTTCTTTCTAGTTTTTTCTGGGGATATTTATTTTTCCATAGGCCTCAAAAGGCTTTTCAATTTTCCTTCACAGATTTTCCAAAGTGAGTGTTTCCATCCTGCTGAATCAAAAGAACAGTTTAACTCCATGAGATGAATCCCAAAATCACAAAGCAGTTTCAAAGATAGCTTCTTTCTATCTGGAGATATTTGTTTTTCCCCTTAAGCCTCAATGGGCTCCCAAATGTCCCTTAACAGATTCTACATAAAAAGTGTTTCCAACCTGCCAAATAAAAAGAAAAGTTTAACTCTGTGAGAAGAATGCACACATCACAAACTGATTTGCAGATTCACAGATTCCTTCTTTCTATTTTTTATCTGGGTCTATTCAGTTTTGCCCCACAGGCCTCAATGTGCTCCCAAATTTCCTTTTGCTGATTCTACAAAAAAAAGTGTTCCCAACCTGTTAAATCAAAGGAAAGTTTAACTATGTGAGATGAATCCAGACATTAAAAAGCAGTTTTACAGTTATCTTCTTTCTAGTTTTTATCTAGGGATATTCTGTTTTTCCCATAGACCTCCACAAACTCCCAAATGTACCTTTGCAGCTGTTCCAAAAAGTGTTTCCAACTTTTTGGAAACTGAATGAAAAGAAAGTTTTAATTCTGTGAGATTAATCCACACAACATGAAGCAGTTTCTCAGATTGATTCTTTCTAGTTTTTAATATAGGTATAGTCAGTTTTTCCCCATAAGTCACAAAGGACTCCAAAATATCCCTTCACAGATTATCAAAAATACTGTTTCCAACCAGCTAAATAAAAAATGTTTAAATATACGATATAAATGCACATATCAAAAAGCAGTTTCACAGATAGCTTCTGTCTAGTTTTTTCTGTGTATATTTGATGTTTTTCATTTGGCCTCAATGGTCTCCCACATGGCCCCTAGTAGATGCTCCAAAAAGGGTGTTTAAACCTGTCGAATCAAAAGAAATATTTAACTCTGTGAGATGAATCTACACATCACAAAGCAGTTTCACAGATAGCTTCTTTCTAATTTTTATGTGGGGATGTTCAGTTTTGCCTCTAGGCCTCAATGGGCTTCCAAATGTCTTTTTGGACATTCTCCAAAAAAAAGTGTTTCTAACTTCCTGAATCAAAATAAAAGTTTAACAATGTGAGATAAATCCACATATCACAAAGCAGTTTCACAGATAGCTCCTTTCTAGTTTCTATCTGGAGATATTCTGTTTTTTTCCACAGGCCTTAAGAGGCTTGCAAATATCCCTTCGGAGATCCTTGAAAAGGAGTGCTTCCAACCTGTTGAATCAAAAGAAAGCTTTATCTCTGTGACATAGATCCACACATCACAAAGCAGCTTCAGTGATACCTTCTTTCTAGTTTTTATGTAGGGATATTTGATTTTCCCCATAGGTTTCAATGGGCTCCCAAATGTCCATTTATGGATTCTCCAAAAAGGGAACTTCTAGCCAGCTGAATTGAAAGAATGGCTTACCTCCATGAAATGAATCCGTGCATCACAAAGCACTTTCACAGATAGCCTCTCTCTAGTTTTTATCTGGGGATATTCTGTTTTTCTCCATAGGTCTCAAAGGGTTCCCAAATGTCCCTTAACCTATCCTCCAAAAAGAGTGTCTCCAACCTGCTGAATGAAAAGTAGGGTTTAATTCTGTGAGATGACTCCTCACATTTCAAAGCAGTCTCACAGATAGCTTCTCTCTGGTTTTTATCTGGGGATATTCATTTTTCCCCATAGATCTCAATGGGCTACCAATTGTCTCTTCGCAGATTGTCCATAAAGAGTGTTTCCAGCCTGCTGAACCAAAAGAAAGATTTAACTCTGTGAGATGAATCTTCCCATCACGAAGCAGTTTCACAGATACCTTCTTTCTAGTCACTATCTGGGGATATTCCATTTTTTCCCATAGTCCTCAATGGGCCCCCAAATTCTTTTTGTATATTCTACAAAAAGTATGTTTGCAACCTGCTGAATCAAGAGGCAGGCTTAACTCTGTGAGGTGAATCCACACATCAAAAAGCAGTTTCACAGACAGCTTCTTTGTAGTTTATTTCCTAGGGAAATTCGGTTTTTATCTGGAAGCCTCAGTGGACTCCCCAGTGTTTTTTTTTTCCACAGGTTCTACAATCAGAGTTTTTCCAAACGGCTGAATCAAGAGAAAAGTATAACTCTGTAAGATAAAGTGACACATCACAAAGCACTGTCACATTAGCATCTTTCTAGTTACTAAGGATACTCTGTTTTTTCCTTGGTCCTCAATGATCTCCCAAATATCTTTTTGCAGATTCTACAAAAATGTCTTTCCAATCTGCTGAATCAGAAAAAATGTTTAACTCTGTGAGACCAATCCACACATCACAAAGAAGTTTCCCAGATAACTTCTTTCTAGTTTCCATCAGAGGATATTCTGTTTTTTTCTCATAGACCTCAATAAGCACCCAAATATCCCTTCACCTGATTATCCAAAGGGAATATTTCCGACCTGCTGAGTCAAAAGAATATTTTAACTTGGTGAAATGAATCCACACATCAGAAAGCAGTTTCACAGATAGCTTCTTTCTAGTTTTTATCTGGGGATATTCAGTTGCTCCCCATAGGCCTCAAATGGCTCCCAAATGTCCCTCCACAGATTCTCTGAAAAGAGTGTTTCCAACCTGCTGATTCAAAAGAAAGGCTTAACTCTGTGAGATGAATCCACACATCCCAAAGAAGTTTCACAGATAACTTTTTTCTCGTATTAATCTGGGGATATTCAGTTTTTCCCAATGGGCCTCTATGGCTTCTGAGATGTCCCTTCACAGATTCTCCAAAAAGTGTTTTCAACCTGCTGAATCAAGAAAAAGTTTTAATTCTTTGAGATGAATGCACACATCACAAAGCAGTTTCACAAATAGCTTCTTCCTAGTTTTCATATGGGGATATTTTGTTTTCCCCATAGGCCTCAATAAGCTTCCAAATGTTCCAATGCAGATTTTCCAAATAGAGTGTTTCCCACTTGATGAACAAAAAAATAGGTTTAACTCTATGCAGTGAATCCGTACATTCCAAAGCAGTTTCACAGATAGCTCCTTTCTAGTTTATATCTGGGGTTATTCTGTATTCCCCATAGCCCTCGATGGACTCCCAAATGTCCCTTGGCAGATTATCTGAAAAGAGTGTTTCCAATCTGCTGAATCAAAAGAAAAGTTGAATGTTGTGAAATGAATCCACACAACAAAAAGCAGTGTCACAGATACCTTCTTTCTAGTTTTTATCTGGGCATATTCGGTTTTCCTACCAAGCCTCAAAGTGCTCTGGAATTTGCCTTAGCAGATTCTACAAAAAGAGTGTTTCCAACTTGCTGAATCATCTGTAAGATGATTCATCTTAAGATGATGGTTCATCTGTAAGATGAACCCACACAACCCAAACTACTTTCACAGATAGTTTTTTTCTAATTTTTACCTGGGTATATTTGGTTTTTCCCCATAGGCCTCAGTGCACTCCAAAATGTCCCCTCGCAGATTCTCCAAAAAGAGTGATTCCAACCTGCTGAATCAAAAGAAAGGTGTAACTCTGTGAGATGAATCCACACTTCACAAAGCTGCTTTCAAGATAGGTTCTTTCTACCTTTTATCTGGGGATATTCTGTTTTTCCCCAAAGGCCTCAGTGGGCTACAAATGTCCCTTCACAGATTCTCCAACGAGAGTGTTTCCAACTTGCTGAATCTAAACAAAATTTTAACTCTGAGATGAATCCACGAGACACAAAGCAGTTTCACAGATAGCTTCTTTCTAGTTTTTGTCTGAAAATATTCAATTTTTCTCCTTAAGTATTAATGGACTCCAAAATATTTCTTCACAGTTTCACCATAAAGAATGTTTCCAACCTGTTGAATCAAATAAAGTTTAATTCTGTGAGATGAATCCACATATCACAAAGCATTTTCACAAATAGCTTCTTTCTAGCTTTTATCTGCAAATATTCGGTTTTTCTGATTTTTTTTTTAAGAACCTGCAAAGGGAAATTTTGGAGCCCATTGAGGCCTAGGGGTAAAATTGGATATCCCAGATAAAAACTGGAAATGATCTATCTGTGATACTGCTTTGCAATGTCTGGATTCATCTCAGCAAGTTAAAACTTTATTTTGATTTAGCAGGTTGGAAACACTCTTTTTGTAGAATCTTTGAATGGACATTTGTGAGCTCATTGAGGCTTATGGGGATAAAAAGAATATCCCCACAAAAAAATATAAACAAGCCATCTGTGAAACTGCTTTGTGACGTTTGGATTCATCTCAAAGTGTTAAGCCTTTCTTTTGATTCAGCAGGTTGGAAAAACTCTTTTTGGAGAATCTGCAAAAGGACATTTGAGAGCCAATTGAGGGCTATGTGAAAAACCTGAATATCCCCATATAAAAACTACAAAAACGCTATCTGTTTACCTCCCTTGTGATTTGTCAATTCATCTCACAGAGTTAAACCTTTCTTTTGATTCAGCAGATTGGAAACACTCTAATTGGAGAATCTGTGAATGGACACTTTGGAGCCCATTCAGGGCTATGGGGAAAAACAGAATATGCCAAGATAAAAACTAGAAAGATGCTACCTGTGAAACTGCTTAGTGATGTTGGATTTATCTCACAGAGGTAAACCTTTCTTTTAATTCAACAGGTTGGAAACACTCTTCTTGTAGAATATGCCAAGGGACATTTAGGAGACCATGGGGGAATATGGGGAAAAACAGATTATGCCCATATAAAAACTAGAAAGAATCTTTCTGTGAAACTGCTTTGTGATGTGTGAATTCATCTCATACAGAAAAACCTTTGTTTTGATGAAGCAGTCTGGAAACACTCTTTTTAGATAATCTGTGAAGGGACATTTTGGAGCTTATTGAGGTCTATGGGAAAAACCAGAATATCTAGAATTAAAAACTAGACAGAACCTATCTGTGAACTTGCCTTAAGAGGTATGGATTCATCTTATAGAGTTATACTTTTGTTTTGATTCAGCAGGTAAGAACACTTGTTTTGGAGAATCTGTGAAGAGACATATGGGAGAGCATTGAGGGCTATGTTTAAAAACTGAATATAGTCAGATAAAAACTAGAAAAAAGCTACCTGTGAAACTGCTTTATGATGTGTGGATTCATCTCACAGAGATAAGCTTTTCTTTTGATACAGCATGTTGGAAACACAATTTTGGAGAATCTATGATGGTACATTTGGGAGCTAACTCAGGCCAAAAGATGAAAACGGAATATACCCAGAAAAAAGTTAGAAAGAATCTATTGGTGAAACTCCTTTGTGATGTGTGGATTCATCTCACAGAGTTAAACTTTTTTTTTTTTTTTTGATTCAGCACGTTGAAAACACTCTGGTTTATGAATCTGTGAAGGGACATTTCAGAGCCCATTGAGTCCTATGGGAAAAACGGAATATCCCCAGATAAAAAATAGAAAGAATCTATCTGCGAAACCGCTTTGTGATGTGTGGATTCATCTAAAATTTTTAAAACTTTCTTTTGACACAGCAGTTTGGAAACACTCTTTTTGGAGAATCTACGAAGAGATATTTGGGAGCCTATTGAGTCCTACGGGAAAAACTGAATATCCCCAGATAAGAGCAAGAAAGAAGCTATCTGTGAAACCGTTTTGTGATTTGTGGATTCTTCTAACAGAGTTAAACCACTCTTTTGATTCAGTAGGTTGGCAAAACTTTTTTTTGATAATCTGTAAAGGGATATTAATAAGCCCATTGAGGCCTATGGGGAAAGAAAAAATATCATTAGATGAAAACAAGAAAGAAACTATCTTTAAAACTGCTTTGTGGTGAGTGGATTCATCTCACAGAATTAAACCTTTCTTTTCATTTGGAAGGTTCTAAACACTTTTTTTGGAGAATCTGTGAACTGACATTTTAGAGCCCATCGAGGCCTATGGGGAAAAACTGAAAATCCCCAGAGAAAAACTAGAAAGGATCAGTTGGTGAAACTGTGTTGTAATGCATGGATTCATCTCACAGAGTTAAACATTTCTGTTGATTCAGCAGGTGGGAAATAGTCTCTTTGGAGGATCTACGAAGGGAAATTTTGGAGCACATTGAGGCCTATGGGGAAAAACACAATACCACAAGATAAAAATAGAAAGAAGCTATCTGTGGATATGCTCCGTGATGTGTGGATTAATCTCACAGAATTGCACCTTTCTGTTGATTGAATGTGTTGGAAACACTCTTTCTGTAGAATCTGTGAAGGGACAACTGAAAGCCCATTGAGGCCTATAAATCAAAACCAAATATCTTCAGATAAAAAAATAGAAAAGAGCTATTACTGAAACAGCTTTATAATCTGTGGATTCATCTCACAGACTTAAGCTTTTCTTTTGTTTCAACATTTTGGGAACACTCCCCTTTGGAGAATGTGCAAAGGGAAAATTGAAAGCCCATCATGGCCTATGGGAAATAACTGAATATGCCCATATAAAAACTAGAAAGAAGTTTTCTGTGAAACTGCTGTCTGATGTGTGGATTCATTTCACAGAGGAAAACATTTCTTTTGATTCAACAGGTTGGAAACACTCTTTTTGGAGAATCTGTAAAGGGATATTTGGAAGCCAAATAAGGCCTATGGTGAAAAAATATATTCGGATAAAAACTAGAAATAAGCTTTCCAAGAAACTGCTTAGTGATGTGTGCATTTGTCTCACAGAGTTAAACAGTTCTTTTGATTCAGTAGTTTGGAAAGACTGTTTTTGACCATTCTGTGAAAGGTCATTTGGGAGTGCATTGAGGCCTGTGGTGAAAAAGGAAATATCTTCTGAAAAAAACTAAAAAGAAGTTTTCTGATAAACTGCTTTGTGATGTGCACATTCATCTCATGGAGTTAAACCTGTCCTTTGATTCAGCAGTTTGGACACTCTGTTTTTATCCTTTCTGATAATGGACATCTGGGAGCAAATTGAGGCCAATTGTGAAAAAGCGAAAATACCAAGATAAAAACTAGAAGAAAGCTATCTGAGAAACCACTTTGTGATGTGTGCATTCATCTCACAGAGATAAACATTTCTTTTCATTCAACAGTTTGGAAATAGTGTTTTTGTACATTCTGTGCATGAACATTTGGGAGAGCTTTGAGTAATATGGTGACATAGAAAATGTCTTGTGATAAAACTAGAAAGAATCTTTATGAGAAACTGGTTTCTGACTTGTGCATTCAACTCACATAATTAAGCCTTTCTTTAGATTCAGCAGTTTGGAAACACTGTTTTTGTAGAATTTGCAAAGGGATATTTGGGAGAATGTTGAGGCTACGATGAAAAAGTAAATATCTTCTGGTAAATCTAGAAAGAAGCTTTCTGAGAAACAGTTTTGTGATGTGTGCATTTATCTCACAGAGTTAAACCTTTCTTTAGATTCAGCAGTTTGGGAAACACTGTTTTTGTCCATTCTGTGAACGGACATTTAGGAGCTCTTTGAGGCAAATGGTGAAGAAGGGAATATTCCAGGATAAAAAGTAGAAGGAAGCTACCTGAGAAACTGCTTTGATATGTGTGCATTCATCTCACAGAATTAAACCTTTCTTTTTATTCAAAGGTTGGAAACACTTTTTTTATAGAATCTGCAAAGGGATATTTGGGAGCATATGGAAGCCTATGTTGAAAAAGAAATTACCTTCAGATAAAAACTAGAAAGAAGATTTCTGAGAAACCGCTTTGTGATGTGTGTATTTATCTCACAAGATTAAATCTTTCTTTTGATTCAGAAATTTGGTAAAACTGTTTTTGTCCACTGTGGGTATCGACATTTTGAAGCTCATCGAGGCCAATGCTGAAAAAGTGAATACCCCAGGATAAAAACTAGAATTATGCTATTTGAGAAACCGCTTTGTGATGTGTGCATTCATCTAGCAGAATGAAACGTTTCATTTCACTCAACCGTTTGGAAACACTGATATTGTAGAATCTCTGAAGGAATATTTGGGAGGTCATTGAGGCCAATGGCGAAAAAGAGAAAATCCTGAGATATAAACCAGAAGGATGCTATCTGAGAAGCCACTTTGTGATGTGTGCATTCATCTTGCAGAGTTAAACCTTTCTTTTGGTTCAGCAGTTTGGAAACACTGTTTTTGTCCGTTCTGCAATAGGACATTTGGGAGTGCATTGAGGTCTATAGTCATAAAGAAAATATCTTCCAATAAAAACTAGAAAGAAGCTTTCTGAGAAACTGCTTTGATATGTGTGCATTCAACCCACATAGGTAAACCTTCATTTTTAGTCAGCAGTTTGGAAACACTGTTTTTGTAGAATCTGTGAAGGGACATTTGGGAGTGCATTGAGGCATATGATGAAAAAGAAAATATCTTCAGATAAAAACTAGAAAGAAGCTTTCTGAGAAACTGCTTTGTGATGTGTATGTTCATCTCACAGAGTTAAACCTTTCTTTTGTTTCAGCTGTTTTGAAACAGTTTTTGTCCATTCTGCTAATGGACAGTTGGGAGGTCCTTGAGGCCAATGGTGAAAAAGTGAATAACTGTGGATAAAAACTAGAAGGAAGCTATCTGAGAAAATGCTTTGTAATATGTGCATTCATCTCAGAGAATTAAACCTTTCTTTTCATTCAGAACATTGTAAACACTCTTTTTGGAGTATCTGTGAAGGGACAATTGGGAGCCCATTGAGGCCTAGGGGGAAAACCTGAATAACCTCAGACAAAAACTAAAAAGAATATATCTGTGAAATTGCTTTGTGAAGTGCAGATTCATCTCAGAGAGTTAAGCCTTTCTTTTGATTCTCAGGTTGGAAAGACTCCTTTTGTAGAATCTTTGAAGGGACATTTGGGAGCCCATTGAGGCCAATGGGAAAAAAACAGAATATCCCCACATAAAAACTAGAAAGAAGCTATCTCTGAAGCTGCCTTGTGACGTGTGCATTCATCTTGCAGAGATAAAAGTTTCTTTTGATTCTGCTGGTTGGAAACACTCTTTATGTACAATCTGCAGAGGGACATTTGGGAGCCCATTGGGACTATGGAGAAAAACCGAATATCCCCAGATAAAAACTGGAAACAATTTATCTGAGAAACTCATTTGTGATGTGTGTATTCATGACACAGATGTTAAGATTTTGTTTGATTCAGTAGGAATAAAACACTCATTTTAAAGAATCTGCAAATGGTCGTTTGGGAGCCCATTGAGGCCTATTGGGAAAAAGCAAATATCCCCAGATAAAAAACCAGTAAGAAGCTATCTGTGAAACTGCTTTGTGATGTGTGGATCCATCTAATAAAATTATCCCTCTTTTGATTCAGCAGGTTGGATACACTATCTTTGGAAAATCTGCAAAGGGACATTTGAAAGTCAATTGAGGGATATGGGGAAATACAGAATATCTTGAGATTAAAATTAGAAAGAAACAATTTTTGAAACTTCTTTCTGATGTGTGGATTCATCTCACAGAATTAAATTTTTCGTTTGATTCAGCAGGTTGAAAACACTTTTTTGGAGAATCTGCAAAGGGACATTTGGGAGCACATTGAGGCATATGGAAAAAAAGTGAATATTCCCTGATAAAGACTAGGAAATATCCATCCATGACAATGTTTGTGGTGTGTGGATTCATCTCACAGAGTCCAAGTTTCTTTTGATTCAGCAGTTTGGAAATAGTTCTTTGGAGAATATATGAAGGGGCATTTTGGAGCCCATTGAGGCCTATGGGGAAAACTGAATATCCCCAGATAAAAACTGGAAAGAAGCTATCTGTGCATCTTCTTTGTGATATTTTGATTCTTCTCAAAGAATTAAACATTTCTTTTGATTCAGCAGGTTGGAAACACTCTGTTTGGAAAGTCTGCCAAGGGACATATTGGATCTCATTGAAGCCCATGGGTAAAAACTGAATATCACCAGATAAAAGTTAGACAGAAGCTATCGGGTGGGGGTTGGGGGAATATTTGTTTTTTTTTTCCATTGGCCTCAAATGGCTCCTCATTATCCCTCTACAGATTCTCTGAAAAGAGTGTTTCCAACCTATGGAATCAAAAGGGAGATTTAATTTTATGCCATGAATCCTCACATCACAAAGCAGTTTCCCAAGTAGCTTCTTTCCAGTTTTATCAGGGGATATTCAGTTCTTCTTTTTAGGCCTCAAAGGGCTCCAAAAAGTCCCTTCACAGATTCTAAAAACATAGTATTTAAAATCTGCTGAATCAAAAGAAAAGTTTAACCCTGAGAGGTGAATCCACACAGTAGAGAGCAGTTTCACAAATAGCTTCTTTCTAGTTTTTATCTCAGGATATTCCATTTTTCCCCATAGGCTGCAATGGGCTACAAAATGTGCCTTCACAGATTCTCCAAAAAGAGTGTTTAAAACCTGCTGAATCAAAAGAAATGTTCAACTTTGGGAGATGAATCCACATAACACAAGGCAGTTTCACAGGTAGCTACTTTCTAATTTTTATCAGAGGACATTTTTTCCCCCACAGGCCACAATTGGCTCCCCAATATCCCTTTGCAGTTTCTGCACAAAGAGTATTTCCAATCTGTTGAATCAAAAGAAAGTTTTAAAACTGTGAGATGAATCCACATATCACAAAGCAGTTTGACAGATAACTTCTTTCTACTTTTTGTCTTGAGATGTTTGGTTTTTCTCCATAGGTCTCAATGGGTGCCCAAATAGCTCTTCCTAGACTTTCAAAAACGAGTTTTTCCACAATGCTTAAGGAAAAAAACTTTAACTGTGTGAGATGTATTCACACATCACAAAGCTGCTTCACAAATACCTTCTTTCTCGTTTTTATCTGGGGATATTTTTTTCACATAGGCATCAATGGGCTTTCAAAATCACCTTTGCAGATTCTCCAAAAATGGTGCTTCCAATCTGCTGAATCAAAAAAAAAAGGTTTAATTCTCTGAGATGAATCCACACATCACAAAGCAGTTTCACACATAGCTTCTTCCTAGTTTTTATCTAGGGATAATCAATTTTCCTTACAGGCCTCAAAGGGGAGCAAAGTGTCACCTCATAGATTATCCAAAAACAATGTTTCCAACCTGCTCATTCAAAAGACACATTTAGCTCTGTAAGATTAATCCACACACGTCTGGGCATGGTGGCTCACACCCGTAATCCCAGAACTTTGGGAGCCTGAGGCTGGTGGATCACAAGATCAGGAGATCGACCCCATCCTGGATAACACGGTGAAACCCCGTTTCTACTAAAAATACAAAAAATGATTAGCCAGGCATGGTGGTGGGTGCCTCTAGTCCCAACTAATCAGGAGGCTGAGGCAGGAGAATGACATGATCCCAAGAGGCAGAGCTTGCAGTGAGCTATGATCACACCACTGCACTCAAGCCTGGGTGATGGAGAGAGACTCCATCTCAAAAAAATGATAATAATAAATAAAAAGATGAATCCACACATGAGAAAGCAATTTCATGGACAGATTCCTTTTAGTTTTTATCTGGGGATATTCAGTTTTTCTCCATAGGCCACAGTGGCTTCCAAATGTCCCTTATCAGAACTCCAGTTATAGTGTTTCCAACCTGCTGAATCAAAAGAAAGGTTTAACTCTGAGAATAGTTTCACAGATAGCTTCTTTCTAGTTTTTTTCTCTAGGGATATTCGGTTTTTCCCTTTTTCATGAAAGAAATGCCAAATGGCCCTTGGCAGATTTTCCAAAAACTGTGTTTCCAAATTGCTGAATCAAAAGAAAAGTTTAACTCTGTGAAATGAATCCACACATCACAAAGAAGTTTCACAGATTGCTTCCTTCTAGTTTCTGTCTGGGAATACTCCCTTTTTCATCATAGGCCTCAATGGGCTCCCAAATGTCCCCTCTCATATTCTCCAAATAAGGTGCTTCCAAACTGCTGAATCAAAAGAAGGCTTTAAATCTATGAGATGAATCCACACATCACAAAGCAGTTTCACAGACAGCTTCTTTCTTGTTGTTATTTGGGTATATTTGGTTTTGTCCCATATGCCTCAATAGGCTCCCAAATATCCCCATGCAGATTCTCCAAAGAGAGTTTTTCCAACCTGCTGAATCAAAAGAAAGGTTTAACTCTGTGATATGACTCCACACATGTCAAAGAAGTTTCACAGACAACTTCTTTCTAATTTTCTTCTGGGGATATTCAGTTTTTCCCCATAGGCCTCAATGAACTCCCAATTGTCCCTTAGCAGATCTTCAAAATGAATGCTTCCAACCTACTGAATCAAAAGAAAGGTTTATCTGTGTGAGATGAGTGCACACATCACAAAGCTGTTTCACAGATAGCTTCTACCAAGTTTTCATCTTGGGATATTCGGTTTTTCCCCAAAGGCCTGAAAGGGCTCCAAAATCTCCCTTCACATATTATCCAAAAAGAGTGGTTCCAAACTGCTGATTGAAAAGAAAGCTTTAACTCTGAGAGATGAATCCAGCCAGCCCAATGCAGTTAACAGATACCTTCTATTTAGTTTTTATCTGTAAATATTCTCTTTTTCCCCATGGTCTTCAATGGGCTTCCAAATGTCCCTTTGCAGAGTCTACAAAAAGAGAATTTCCAACCTATGGAATCAAAAGGAAGGTTTAACACTGTGAGATGAATCAACACATCACAAAGAAGTTTGTCAGATACCTTCTTCCAAATTTTTTTCTGGGGATATTCTATTTTTCCCCATAGGTCTCAAAGGGCTAAGGAATATCCCTTCACAGATTCTCCAAACAAATATTTTCAACCTGCTGAATCAAAAGAAAAGTTTAAATATGTGAGCTGAATCCACACATCACAAAGCAGTTAACAGACGCCTTCTTTCTAGTTTTTATCTAGGGAAATTCAGTTTTTCCTCCTAGACCACAATGAGGTCCAACAAAGTGTCCCATCACAGATTCAACAAAAAGAGTGTTTCAAACCTGCTGAGTCAAAAAAAGTCTAAATATGTGGTATTAGCCTTCACATCACAACACAGTTTAACAGGTAGCTTCTTTCCAGAATCTATCTAGGGCATTCAGTAATTCCACATAGGCCTCAATGGGCTCTTAAATGTCCCTTTGCAGATTCTCCAACCTGCAGTTGGAAAGATTCGCAGTCTTTCCAACCTGCTGAATCAAAAGAATGGCTTCTCTCTGTGAGAAGAATCCACACATAACAAAGCAGTTACAGATGATAGCTTCTTTCTAATTTTTATCTGGGTATATTTGGTTTTTCCCCTCAGGTCTCAATGGACTCTCAAATTTCCATTCACATATTCTCTAAAAAGGGTGTTTCCAATCTGCAGAATTAAAAAAAAAATTAACTCTGTGAGATGACTCCACACATCACAAAGCAGTTTCACAGATAGCTTCTTTCTAGTTTTTATTGGGGGATATTCAGCTTTTCCCCATAGGCCTCAATGGGCTCCTAACTGTCCCTGTGCAAATACACTAAAAACAGTGTTTCTAACCTTTTGAATCAAGTGAAAGTTTTAACTCTGTGAGATGAATCCACACATCACAAAGCAGTTTCACAGATAGCTTCTTTTTAGTTTTAATCTCAGGATATTTGGTTTTTCCCATAGACCTCAAAGGGCTCCCAAATGTCCCTTCACAGATTATCCAAAAAGAGTGTGTCCAACCTGCTGAATAGCTGATAGGTTAAACTCTGTGAGACGAATCCACAGATCACAAGACATTTTCACAGATAGCTTCTTTCTAGTTTTATCTGAGGATATTTCGTTTTTCCCCATAGGCCTCAATGGGATTCCAAATATCCCTCCGATGATCCTAGGAAAAGAGTGCTTCAAACCTGATGTATCAACTGAATTATATAACTGTGTGAGAAGGATCCACACACCACAAAGGGCTTTCTCAGATACTTTGTTTGTAGTTTTTATCTGGGGGATATTCAGTTTTTCCTGATAGGCCTCAATAGGTTCCCAAATGTTCCTGCACAGATTCTACAAAAACAGTGCTTCCAAACTGCTGGATCCAAATAAAAGTTTAACTCTGTGATATGAATCCAACCATCACAAAGCAGCTTCACTGGGAGATTCTTTATAGTTTTTATCTAGGGATATTTGTTTTTTTCCATAAGCCTAAATGGGCTGCCAAATTTCTCTTCGCAGATTGTACAAAAATAGTGATTCCAACCTGCTGAATCAAAAGGAAAATTTAAGTATGTGAGATGAATCCACACATCACAAAGCAGTTTCACAGATAGCTTCTTTCTAGTTTTATCTGAAGATATTCAGATTCTCCCCATAGGCTTCAATTGGCACCCAACTGTTCCTTCGCACATTCTCCAAAATGAAGTTTTCCAACCTGCTGAATTAAAAAATGGTTAAATCTGTGAGTTTAATCCACATATTAAAAAGCAGTTCAATGATAGCTTCTTGTTATCTGGGGATATTTGGTTTTTCCACATAGGCCTCAAAGAATTCTTAAATGTTCCTTCACAGATTCTCCAAAGAGATTATTCCCACCTTGCTGAATAACAAGAAAGGTTAAACTCTGTGAGATAAATCCACACATCACAAAGCAGTTTCACAGATAGCTTATTTGTAGTTTTTATCTGAGAATATTCTGTTTTACCCCTTAGGCCACTATGGGCTCCAAAATGTCCCTTCGCAGATTCTCCAAAAAGATTGTTTACAACATGGTGAATTAAAATAAGGTTTGAAATCTGTGAGATGAAGCCACACATCACAAAGTAGTTTCACAGAGAGCTTCTTGGTAGTCTTTACTGGAGGATATTCAGTTTTTCCCCGTATGCCTCAATGGGTTCTGAAATGTCCCTAAGCAGATTCTACAAAAAGAATGTTTCCAACTATTGAATCAGAAGAAAATTTTAACTCTGTGAGATGAATACATACATCACAAAACAGTTTCACAGATAGCTTCTTTCTAGTTTTTATATGGGGATATTCAGTTTTCTCCCAATGGCCTACATGGGTGCCCAATAGTCCTTTTGCTTATTCTCTAAAAAGAGTGTTTTCAAGCTACTGAATCAACAGTAAAGTTTAATTTTCTGAGATCAATTGAAACATCACAAGGCAGTTTCAAAGATGTCTTCTTCCTAGTTTTTATCTGGGGATAATCCGTTTTTACCCATTTGCTTCCCAAATGTCACTATGCAGATTCTCCAAAAAGAGTGTTTCCAACCTGATAAATCAAAAGAAAGGTTTAGCTCTTTGAGCTGAATCTACACATCACAAAGTCTTTTCACAGATACCTTCTTTCTAGTTTTTATATGAGGATATTCAGTTCTCCCCCATTGGACTCCATGGACGTGTAAATATCCTTTTCTAGATTCTCCAAAAAGAGTGTTTCCAAGCTCCAGAATCAAAAGAAAACTATAACTCTGTGAGCTCAATCCACACATTACGAAGTAGTTTCACACATAGATCCTGTCTAGTTTCTATCTAGAGATATTCATTTTTTTCACCATAGGCCTCAATGTATTCCCAAAAGTCCCTTTAGAGGTTTTACAAAAATAGTATTTCCAAACTGCTACATTAGAAGAAAAGATTAACTCTGTGAGATGAATATACACATCACAAAGCAGTTTCACAGATTGCTTCTTTTTGTTTTCATCTGGGGATATTCAGTTTTTCCCCATAGGCACCAAAGGGCTCCCAAATGTCCCTTCACAGATTCTCCAAAAAGAGAGTTTTTAACCTGCTGAATTAAAAGACAGGTTTAACTCTGTGAGCTGAATACACACATCACAAAGCAGTTTCTCAGATAGCTTCTGTCTAGTTTTTATCTGGGGATATTAGTTTTTTCACCATAGGTCTCAATTAGCTCCCAAATGTCACTTCACAGATTCTACAAAAACAGTGTTTCAAAACTACTGAATCAAAAGAAATGTTTAACTTTGTGAGTTGAATCCACACATCAAAAAGCAGTTTCACAAATAACTTTGTTCTAGCTTTTATCCGTGGATATTTGCTCTTTCACCATAGGCCTCAATGAGCTCCCAAATGTTGTTCCCAGATTCTACAAAAACAGTGTTTCCAAACTGCTGAATCAAAAGAAAAGTTTAACTCTGTGGGATGGATCCAAACATAATGAAGAAATTTCACAGAGAGCTTCCTTCTAGTTTTTATCTTGGGATATTCACAGTTTCACCATAGACCTCAATGCTTTCCCAAATGTCCCTTTTCAGATTCTACAAAAACAGTGTTACCAAACTGCTGAATCAAAAGAAAGTTATAAGTCTTTGAGATGAATCAATATCGCAAAGAAGTTTCATGTATGCTTCTTTCTAGTTTTTTTTTTTTTTTTTCTGGGGATAATTGCTTTTAAACCACAGGCTTCAATGCCCTCCCAAAGATTCCTTCACAGATTCTACAATAACAGTGTCTACAAACTGTTGAAATCAAGGAAAGGTATAACCCAGTGAGATGAATCCACACATCACAAAGCAGTTTCACAGGTAACTTCTTTTTAATTTTTATCTGGAAATGTTTTGTTTATCACCATATGCCTCAATGGGCTACAAAATATCCCTTTGCGGATTCTACAAAAAAAAAAAAAAAAAAAAAAAACTTCTTGCAACCTCCTGAATAAGAAAAAAAAGATTTAAATGTGTGAGAAGAATCCACACATCACAAAGCAGTTGCACAAACAGCTCCTTTCTAGTTTTCATCTAGGGATATTTGCTTTTTCACCTTTGGCATCGAAGTGCTCCCAAATGTCCTTTCACAGATTCTACAAAAACAGTGTTTCAAAACTGCTGTATAAAAAGAAATGTTTAACTCTGTGAGATGAATCCACACATAATGAAGCAGTTTCAATTTTCATATGGGGATATTTCCTTTTTCACCATAGGCATCAATGAGCTTCAAAATATCACTCTGCTGATTATACAAAAACAGTGGTTTAAGACTGCTAAGTCAAAGGAAAGGCTTAACTCTGTTAGATGAATCCACATATCCCAAAGCAGTTTCACAGATAGCTTTTTTCTAGTTTTTATGTGGGGATATTTCCTTTTTCACCATAGGCCTACAGGTCCCTTTGCAGATTCTACAAATACAGTATTTCAAAACAGCTGAATCCAAAGAAATGTTTAACTCTCTGCAATGAATCAAAACACTACAAAGCAATTTCACAGATAGCTTCTTTCTAGATTTTATCTGGAGACATTTTCTTTTTCACCGTAAGCCTAAAATGTGCTCCCAAAAGTTTCTTCACAGATTCTACAAAATCAGTGTTTCCAACTGCTGAATCAACATAAAGTTTTAACTCTGTGAGATGAATCTACACATCAGAAAGCAGTTTCACAGAGAGCTTCTTTATAGTTTTTACCAGGGGATATTCACTTTTTCACCATAGGCCTCAAGGCACTCCCAAATATCCCTTCACAGACTCTACAAAAACAGTGTTTCCAAACTGCTGTACCAAAATAAATGTTTAACTCTGAGTCAAAACCACACATCATGAAGCAGTTTCACAGGTATCTTTTTTCTAGTTTTTATCTGCGGATATTAGGTTTGTCACCATAGGCCTCAATGTGCTACCAAATGTCCCTTTGCAGATCAAACCAAAAGACCGGTTGCAATCTCCTGAATCAAAAGAAAGTTTTACTTCTGTGAGAGGAATCCACACATCAAAAAGCAGTTTCACAAATAACTTTGTTCTCATTTTTATCTGGGGATATTCGCTTTTTCACTATAGGCCCCATTGAGCTCCCAAATGTCCTTTTGCAGACTCTACAAAAACAGTTTTTCCAAACTGCTGAATCAAAAGAAAGGTTCAACTTTGTGAGATGAATCCACAAATTGCAAAGTAGTTTCACAGAAAGCTTCCCTGTAGTTTTTATCTTGGGATATTCACATTTTCACCATAGGCCTCAATGAGCTCCCCAATGTCCCTTCGCAGATTCTACAAAATACAGCGTTTCCAAACTGAGGAATAAAAAGAGAGTTTTAAATTTGAGAGATGAATTTACACATCACAAAACAGTTTCATATAGACCTTCTTTCTAGTTTTTTTCTGGAGATATTTGCTTTGTCACCATAGGCCTCAATGCATTCCCAAATATCCCTTCACAGATTCTACAAAAACAGTATCTCCAAAGTGCTGAATTACAAAAAAATTATAACTCTGAGAGATGAATCCACACATCACAAAGTTGTTTTATAGCTTCTTTCTAGTTTTTATGTGCAGACACTATCAGTTTGTCACCATAGGCCCCAAGGTGCTGCCAATTGTCCATTCTCAGAGTCTACAAAACAACTCTTTCCTGGCTGCTGAATCAAAAGAAAGGTTTAACTCAGTGAGATGAAGCCACACATCACAAAGCAGTTTTACAAATAACCTCTTCTTAGTTTTTATCTGGGATATTTACTTTTTCACCACAGGCCTAAATGAGCTCTCAAATTTCCCTTCGCAGACTCTACAAAACAAATGTTTCTAAACTGCTGAATCAAAAGGAAGTTTGAATTCTGTGAGATCCATCCACACATCCCAAAGCAATTTATTTGATAGCTTCCTTCTAGTTGTTATCTGGGGATATTCAATTTTTCACCATAGGCCTCAATGCACTCCCAAATGTCCTTTCACAGATTCTATAAAAACAGTTTTCCCAAACTGCTGAATGAAAACAAAGGTTTAATTCTGTGATATGAATGCACACATCACAAAGCAGTTTCACAGATAGTTCTTTCTAGTTTTTATCTGGGTTTATTTGCTTTTTCACCGTAGGCCTCAATTAGGTAGCAAACGTTCCTTTGCATATTCTACAAAAAAAAAGTGTTTCCAACCATAGGCCTCAATACGCTCCCAATTGTCCCTTTGCAGATTCTACAAAAGGACTCTTTCCAACATGCTCAATCATAAGAAAGATTTAACTCTGTGAGAAGAGTCCATATATCACAAAGCAGTTTCACAGACAGTGGGTTTCTATCTTGGGATATTCAGTATTTCACTATAGGCCCCAATGAGCTCCCAAGTTTCCCTTCACAGATTCTACAAAACCAGTGTTTCCAAACTCCTGAATCAAATGAAAGGCTTAACTCTGTGAGATGAATCTACACAACCTAAAGCAGTTTAAAAGATAGCTACGGTTTTGGTTTTTATCTGGGAATAATTGCTTTTTCAGCATAGGCCTCAATTATCTCACAAATATTTCTTCATAGATTCTACAGAAAGTTTTTCCAAACTGATGAATCAAAAAAAAGGTATAATTCTGCGAGATCCATCCACACATCCAAAGCAGTTTCACAGATAGCTTCTTTCTAATTTTTATCTGGGGATATTTTTTATTTCCCAGTAGGCCTCAATGACTCCAAAATGCCCCCTCACTGATCCTCCAAAAAGTGTAGTTCTAACCTGCTCAATCAAAATAAAGGTTTACCTCTATGAGATGAATCCACACATTACAAAGCAGTTTCACAGATAGCTTCTTTCTAGTTTTTATCAGGGGATATGAAGTTTTCCCCACAGGCCTCATTAGGCTCTCAAAAGGTCCTTCGCAGATTCTTTTAAAAAAGTTTCTCCAACCTGCTGAATCAAAACAATGGTATAACTCAGTGAGGTGAATCCACATATTACAATGCAGTTTCACTGATAGCTTCTTTCTAGTGTTTATCTGGAGATAGCAATTGTTTTTCCATAGGCCTCAATAAGCTCCCAAATATTTCTTCACAAATTCTCCAAAAAGAGTTTCCAACCTGCTGAATCAAAACAAAGGTTCAATCTGTGAGATGAATGCACACATCACAAAGCAGTTTCACAGATAGCTTCTTTCTATTTTTTATTTGGGGATATTCGGTTTTTCCTCACAGGTCTCAATGGGATCCCAAATGTCCCTTTGCAGATTGTCCAAAAAGAGCGTTTCCAACCTACCGAATCAAAAGGATCATTTATCTCTGTGAGATGAATCCACACATCACAACGCAGTTTCACAGATAGCCGCTTTCTAGTTTTTATCTGGTGATATTTGAAGTTTCCCAATAAGCTTCAATGGGCTCCAAAATGTTTTTTCACGGATTCTCCAAGAAGAGTGTTTACAACCTGCTGAATCAAAAGAAAGTTTTTGACTCTTTGAGATGAATCCACAGGTCACAAAGCAGTTTCACAGTTAGATTCTTTCTAGATTTTATTTCAGGGTATTCAGTTTTTCCCGGTATGCCTCAATAAACTCTGAAGTATCCCTTTGCAGATTCTCCAAAAAAAGTGTTTTCAACATGCCGAATCAAAAGAAAGTTTTAAAGCTCTGAGATGAATCAACACGTCAAAAAGCAGTTTCACAGACACATTCTTTCTCCTTCCTATCTGGGGATATTCTCTTTTTCTCCATAGGCCACAATAGGCTCCAAAATATCCCTTTGCAGATTGTATGAAAAGAGTGTTTCCAACCTGTTTAATCAAAGGAAAGGTTTAACTTTTGAGATGAATCCACACATCACAAGGCAGTTTCACAGATATCTTCTTTCTTATTTTTATCAGGGCATATTCATTTTTTTCCCACAGGCCTCAATGGGCTCTCAAATGACGCTTTGCAGATTCTCCAAAAAGAGAGTTTCCACCATGCTGAATCAAAACAGTTTTAACTCTGTGAGTTGAATCCACACATTAAAAACCATTTCCAAATACAGCTTCTGTCTAGTTTATCTGGAATTATGTGGTTTTTCCCCGTAGGCCTCAAAGGGCTCTCAAGTGTCCCTTCACAGATTATCGAAAAAGAGTGTTTCAAACGTGGTGAATCAAAAGAAAAGTTTAATTCTGTGAGATGAAACCACGCATCACAAAGCAGTTTCACAGACTATTTTTTTCTAGTTTTTTGTAGGAATATTCAGTTTATTCCCTCACACCTCAATGAGCTCTAAAATGTCCTTTCACAGATTCTCCAAAAAGGGTGTTTTCAAAGTGCATATCAAAAGAACATTTAACTCTGTGTGATGAATTCACACATCACAAAGCTGTTTCACAGATGGCTTCTTTCTAGTTTTATATGGGGTTATTTTTTTTTCCCCTTAGGCCTCAATGTGCTCCAAAAAGTCCCTTAGCAGATTCTCTATAAAGAGTGTTTCCAACGTGCTGAACCAAAGGAAAGTTTTAACTCTGTGAGACTAATCCACACATAACCAAGAAGTATCACAGAAAGCTTCTTTCTAGTTTGTAGCTGGAGATATTCAGTTTTCCCCATAGGCCTCATTTGGCTCCCAAATGTCCTTTTGAAAATTCTCCAAAGAAAGTTTCCAATCTGCTTCATCAAAAGAAATGTTTAACTATGTGAGTTTAATCCACACAAATCAAAGCAGTTTCACAGATAGCTTCTTTGTACTTTTCATCTGGGTATATTCTGTTTTTTTTCCCCATAGTCCTCAATGGGCTCCCAAATGTTTCTTTGTAAATTCTCCAAAAATAGTGTTTACAACCTGCTAAGTTGAAAGCAAAAATTAAATGTGTAAGATGAATCCACAAAGCCAAAAGCACTTTCACAGATAGCTTCTTTCTAGGTTTTATCTGGGGATATTAGGTTTTTTTCCATAGGCCTCTATGGACTCCAAAACGTCCCTTCACATATTCTACAAAAAGAATTTTCCAACCTACTGATTAAAAAGAAAGGTTTAACTCTGTGAGATGAATCCACACATTAGAAAGCAGTTGCACAGATGGCGTCTTTCTAGTTTTTATCTGGAGATATTCAGTTTTTTCCCATAGGTCTCAAAGGGCTCCCAAGTGTCCTTTCGCAAATACTCTAAAAAGAGTGTTTCTAACCTTTTGAATCAAAAGTAAGGTTTAACTCTGTGAGATGAATCAACACATCACCAAGCAGTTTCACAGTTAGCTTTTTTTCAAGTTTTTATCTGAAAGTAGTCATATTTTCCCCATAGGCCTCAAAGGGCTCCCAAATATCACTTCACAGATTCTACAAAAAAAGTGTTTCCAATCTGCTGAATCAAAAGGCAGGTTTAAATCTGTGACATGAATCCACACATCACAAAGCAGTTTCACAGGTAGCTTCTTCCTAGCATTTATTTAGGAATATTCCATTTTTTCCTGTAGGCCTCAAAGGGCTTTTAAATGGCCCTTCACCGATTCTCTGAAGAGTGTTTCCAATCCCTAGAATCAAAAGAAAATTCAACTCTGTGTGATGAATCCAGACATCACAAAGCAGTTTCACAGATAGCTTCTTTGTAGTTTGTATGTGGGGATATTTTGTTTCTCCCCCTAGGCCTCAATGTGCTCCCAAATGTTTCCTCACATATTCTCTAAAAACAGTGTTACCAAGCCGAAGAATCAATAGGAAGGTTGGTCTCTGTGAGATGAATCCACACATCAGAAAGCTTCTTCATAGTTTTTCTGGAAATATTCAGTTTTTTCTTGTAGGCCTAAATTGGCTCCAAAATGTCCCTTCACTGAATCTCCAAACAAAGTGTTTCCAATCTGCTGAATCAAAAGAGTGGTTTAACTCTGTGAGTTGAATCAACACATCAAAAACTGTTTTATGCATAACTTCCTTTTAGTGTCATCTAGGCATAAATCAGTTTTTTTTCCATAGGCCATGATGGGCACCCAAATGTCTTTTTGCAGATTCTCCAAAAAGAGTGTTTGCAATCTGCTGAATGAAAAGAAAGCTTCAATTCTGTGAGATGAATCCACACATCACAAAGCAGTTTAACAGCTTGTTTCTTTGTAGTTTTTATCTGGAGATATTGGTTTTTCCGCATAGGCCCCAATGGGCTCCAAAATAACTCTTCACAGATTCTTCAAAAAGAGTATTTCCAACCTGTTGAATTAAGGGAAGGTTTAACTCTGTAAGGTGAATCCATACATCACCAAGCAGTTTCACAGATAGCTTCCTTCCACTTTTTATCTGGAGTTATTTGGTTTGTCACCACTGGCCTCAATGTACTCCCAAATGTCCTTTCACATATTCTAAAAAAGTACGGTTTCCAACCAGCTGAATTAAAAGAAAGGTTAAACTCTGTGAGAAGAAACCACACATCTCAAATCAGTTTCATAGGTAGCTTGTTTCTGGTATTTATCTGGGGATTTTCTCTTTTTCAGCATAGGCTGCAATGTGCTCTGAAATGTCCCTTCACAGATTCTACAGAAAAAGTGTTTACAACATGCTGAATCAAAAGAAAGGTTTAACCCTGTGAGATGAATCCACACTTCAAAAAGCCATTTTAAATATAGCTTCTTTCTAGTTTTTATCTGGGGATATCTGGGTTTTCCTGTATGCCTCAATGGGTTCCCAAATGTCCCTTCACAGATTCTTAAAAAAGAGTGCTTCCAACCTACTGCAATAAAAGAAAGGTTTAACTCTGTGAGATGAATCCACACATCTCCTAGTAGTCTCACAGATAGATTCTTTCCAGTTTTTGTTGGGGATATTCAGTTTTTCTCCATAGGCCTCAAAGGACTCCCAAATGTCTCATCGCCAATTTTCCAAAAAGAGAATTTCCAACATGCTGAATCAAAAGAAAGGTTTAACTCTGAGATGAATCCACACATCACAAAGCATTTTCACAGGTAACATCTTTCTACTTTTTATTTAGGGATTTTCAGTTTTCCTTCATAGGTCTCAATGGGGTCCCAAATGTCCCTTCACAGATCCTTTAAAAAGAGTTTTTCCAACCTGCTGAATCAAAAGAAAGATCTAATTTTGTTAGGTTAATCCACACATCACAAATAATTTTCACAGATACTTTATTTCTAGTTTTTATCTGGGGATATTTGGTATTTCCTCATTGGCCTCAATGGGCTCCAAAATGTTGCTTCACAGATTCTCCAAAAAGAGATTTTCCAACCTTCTAAATCAAAGTAAATGTTTACTGCTGTGAGTTGAAACCAAAAATCACAAAGCAGCTTCACAGAGAGCTTCTTTCTATTTTTTATCTGGGGATATTCAGTTTTTCTCCATAGGCCTCAATGGCCTCCCAAAAGTCCCTTCACAGATTTGCAGAAAAAGACTGTTTTTAACCTGCTTAATCAAAAGAAATGTTTAACTCTGTTGGATGAATCCACACATCACAAAACAGTTTCACAGATACCTCCTTCTTGGTCTTTTTCAGGGGATATTTGGTTATGCCCCATAGGCCTTAATGGGATCAAAATGTCCCTTCACATATCCTATAACAGTGTTTCCAACTTGTTGAACCAAAGAAAAGTTTAGCCCTGTGGGCTGAATCTGAGCATCATAAAGCAGTCTCACAGATAGCTTTTTTCTAGTGTTAATCTGGGCATATCCTGTTTTTCCACACAGACCACAAAAGGCTCATAAATGTTCCTTCACAGATTCTCCAAAAGGAGTGTTTCAAACCTGCTAAATCAAAATAAAGTTTGAAATCTCAGAGATGAATGCATCCATCACAAAGCAGTTTCACATATTGCTTCTTCTAGTTTTTACCTGTGTATATTTTTTTGTGCCACGTAGGCCTCAAAGGGCCCCAAAATATCCCTATGCAGATTCACCAAAAACAGTATTTCCAGCCTGCTAAATCAAAAGAAAGTTTTAACTCTTTGAGACCAATCTATGCTTCATAAAGCTGTTTCACTAAGAGCTTCTCTCTAATCTCTATCTGTGGATATTGAGGTTTTTCCTCATAGGTTTCAATAAGTTCCCAAATGTTTCTACTCAGATTCTACAAAAAGAGTGTTTCCAGCCTACTGTATCAAAAGAAGGGTTTAACTCTGTGAGATGAATCCACACATCACAAAGCAGTTTCACAGATAACTTCTTTCTAATTTTTTTTCTGGGGATATTTGGTTTATCCCAATAGGACTAAATGGGCTACAAATGTCCCTTTGCAGATTCTCCAAGAAGAGTGTTTCCAACCTGCAGAAAGAAAAGAAAGGTTTAACACTGTGAGATGAATCCACACATCAGAAAGCAGTTTAACAGATGATTTTTCTTCTAGCTTTTAATCTGGGGATATTCAGTTTTTCCTCATAGGCCACAATGGGCTCCCAATGTCCCTTCACAAATACATCAAAAAGAGTGTTTCTAACCTGCTGCATCAAAAAAGGGGTTGTAACTCTGTGAGATGAATCCACACATCACAAAGTAGTTTCACAGAGTGCTTTTTTCTAGTTTTTTATTTGGGGATATTCAGTTTTTCCCCATAGGCCCCTATGGGCTCCTAAATGACCCTTCGTAGATTCTCCAAAAAGAGTGTGTCAAACCTGTTGAATGAAAGGAAATGTTTAAGTCAGTGAGGTTAATCCACACATAACAAAGCATTTTCACCAAAAGCTTCTTTCTAGTTTTTATCTTGGGATATTAAAATTTTCCCCATAGGCCTCATTGGCTTCCAAATTTCCCTTCACAGATTTTCGAAAAAGAGTGTGTCCAACCTGCTGAATCAACAGAAAGGCTTAATTCTGTGAGATGAATCCACACATCAGAAAGCAACTTCACAAGTAGCTTCTTTCTATTTTTTATCTGGGGAAATTTTGGTTTTTCCCATAGGCCTCAACAGGCTTCAAAATGTCCCTTCACAGATTCTAGAAAAAGAATGCTTCCAACCTACTGATTGAAAAGATAGGTTTACCTTCTAAGATGAATCTACCTGTCACAAAGCAGTTTCAGAAATAACTATCCTCTAGTTTTTATTCTGGGATAATCTCTTTTACCTCTTAGGCCTCAATGGGCTCCCAAACGTCCTTTCACAGATTTCACAAAATAGAGTGTTTCTAGGCTGATCAATCAAGAGAAAGTTTTAACTCTGTGAGATGAATCCAAACATCACATAACAGTTTCTTGTATCACTTTTTTTTAGTTTTTACCTGGGGATATTCAAGTTTTCACCATAGCCCTCACTGAGCTCCCAAATGTCCCTTTGCAGAATCTCCAGAAAAGTGTTTCCAACCTTCTGAATCAAAATAATGGTTTAACTATGTCAGCTGAATCCACATATCAAAAATCAGTTTTACGTATAGTTTCCTTTCAGTTTTATCTGGGCATATTGGGGTTTTTCCTATAAGTCTCGATGGGCTTTCTAATGTCTTTTTGCACATTCTCTGGGACTTGAATTCACACCTCAAATATCAGTTTCAGATGTAGCTTCTTTTAATTTTTATCTGAAGTTGTTCAGTTTTTCCCCATAGGCCTCAATGGGCTCCCAAATATCACTTCACATATTCTCCAAAAAGAGTGTTTCCAAACTGCTGAATCAAAGGAAAGGTTTGCCTCTGTACGGTGAATCCACAAATGGCAAAGCAATTTCACAGATAGCTTCTTTCTAGTTTTCATCTGTGGACATTCTTTTTTTCCCCTTAGGCCTACAATGTGCTCCCAAATGTCTTTCTGAAGATTTTACAAAGTGTTTCCAACCTGCTGAATCAAAACAAAGGTTTAACTCTGTGAGATAAATCCACACATCCCAAAGCAGTTTAACAGATAGATAGCTTGGTTCTGGTTTTTATCTGGAGATATTCAGTTTTTCCCATTAGGCCACAATTTACTCCCAATTGTCTCTTCACAGAGTCTCCATAAAGAGTGGTTACCACTGGGCACAATGGCTCATGCCTGTAATCCTGGCACTCTGGGAGGCTGAGGCAGGCAGATCACAATGTCAGGAGATTGAGACAATCCTAGCTAACACGGTGAAACCTCGTTTCTTCTAAAAATAAAAAAATTTAGCCATGCTTGGTGGTGGGCACCTTTAGTCCCAGCTACTCAGGAGGCTGAGGCAGGAGAATAGCATGAACGCAGGAGGCAGAGCTTGCAGTGAGCTCTGCACTCCAGCCTGGGTGGCAGAGCAAGAATCCATCTCAAAAAAAAAAAAAAGAGTGATTCCAACCTGTTGAATCAAAGGAAATATTTAACTCTGTGAGATGAAGCCACACATCACAAAGCAGTTTCAAAGATAGCTTCTTTATAATTTTTATCTATTTTCCTATATGCCTCGATGGGCTCCCAAATGTCCCTTCACAGACTTTCAAAAAAGAGTGCTTCCATCCTGCTGGAACAAAAGAGTGCTTCCATCCTGCTGGAACAAAAGAGTGCTTCCATCCTGCTGAAACAAAAGAAAGGTTTAATTCTGCAGGATGAATCCACAAATCAACAAGTAGTTTCACAGATAGCTTCTTTCCAGTTTTTATTTAGGGATATTCAGTTTTCCTTCATTGGCCTCAATGAGATTTTAAATGTCTCTTCAAAGACTTTCCAAAAAGCATGTCTCCAATCTGCAAAATCAAAAGAAAGGTATAACACTGTGAGATGAATCCACACATCACAAAGCAGTTTCACAGATAGCTTCTTTCTAGTTTCTATCTGGGGATACTCTGTTTTTCCCCATAGGATTCAATGGGCTCCCAAATGTCCCTTCACAAATTTTATAAAAAGAGTGTTTCAGCCTACAGAATGAAAAGAAAGCTTTAACTCTGTGAAGCGAATCCACACATCATATAGCAGTTTCACAGATAGCTTCTTTCTAATTTCTATATGGGGATATTCAGTTTCTCTCCATAGGCCTGAATGGGCTCATAAATATCCCTTCACATGTTCTCCAAGAAGAGTGTTTCCAGACTTCTGAATCAAATGAAAGGTATATCTCTGTTAAATGAATCCACACTTCATGAAACAGTTTCACAGAGAGCTTCTTTCTCATTTTTAACTGGGGATATTCAGTTTTTCCCTTAGGCCTCAATGGGCTCCCAAATATGCCTTTGCAGATTGTCCAAAAAGAGAGCTTCCAACCTGCTGAATCAAAAGAAAGGTTTAACTCTGTGAGGTGACACCAAACGTCATAAAGCAGTTTCACAGAGAACTTATTTACAGTTTTTAATCTGGGGATATTTTCTTTTTCTCCATAGGCTGGAATGGGCTCCCAAAGGTCTTTTCCCAGATTCACCAAAAAGAGTGTTTCCAACCTGCTGAAATAAAAGAAAGGTTTAACTTTGTTGGATGAATCCACACATCACAAAGCAGATTCACAGATAGATTCTTTCTAGTTGTTTTGGGGGGATATTCCGTTTGCCCCTTATGCCTTACTAGGCTCCCAAATGTCCTGTCACAGATCTATAATAAGAGTATTTCCAACCTGCTGAATCAAAACAAAGATTTAATTCTTTGAGATGAATCCACACACCACAATGCAATTTCACAGATAGCTTTAATTCTGGGGCTATTCAGTTTTTTATAATAGGATTCAATGGGCTACAAAATGTCCTTTTGCAGGCTCCCCAAAAAGAGTTTTTCCAACCTGCTGAATCAAACGAATTGTTTAACTCAGGGAGACGAATTGTTACATAAGAAAGCAGTTTCACAGATGGCTTCTTTCTCGTTTTTAACTGGGGACATTCTGTTTTTCCCCATAGACCTCAATGGGGTCCCAAGTGTCCCTTCACAAATACTTCAAGAAGAGTGTTTCCAACCTGGTGAATGAAAAGAAAGTTTCAACTCTGTGAGATGAATCCAGACATCACCAGGCAGTTTTACACATAGCTTCTTTCTAGTTTTTATCTGGGGATATTCAGTTTTTACTCACAGGCTTCAAAGGGCTCCCAAGTGTCCCTTTGCACAATCTCCAAAAAGAGCATTTCCAACCTGCTGAATCAAAAGAAAGGTTTAACTCTTTGAAATGAATTCACATCTCCCAAAGCAGTTTCACAGATAACTTCTTTTTATTTTTTATCTAAAGATATTCGTTTTTTTCCCCAGAAGCCCCAGTTGGTCCCAAAATGCCTTTTTGCAGATTCTCCAAAGAGTGCTTCACACATGATGAATCAAAAAAAAAAAAAAAAGCTTAACATTGTGAGATGAATCCACAAATCCCAAAGCAGTTTCACAGACAGCTTCTTTCTATTTGTTATCTGGGGATGTTCGGTTTACCTTCACAGGCTTGAATGGACTCCCAATGTCCCTTTGCAGATTGTACAAAATGAGTGTTTACAATTTACTGATTCAAAAGAAAGGTTTAACTTTGTGAGATGAATCCACATATCACAAAGCCATTCCTCAGATAGCTTCTTAATCATTTTATTCTAGGTATATTCCATTTTGCACATAGATGTCAATCGGAACCAAAATGTATTTCCACAGATTCTGCAAAAGCCGTGTTTTAAAGCTGGTGAATTAAAAGAAAGCTTTAATTCTGAGAGATGAATCCACACATCAGAAATCAATTTCACCGATAGCTTCT
Organism: Homo sapiens; assembly: GCF_000001405.40. NCBI lineage: Eukaryota > Metazoa > Chordata > Mammalia > Primates > Hominidae > Homo > Homo sapiens. Next base: position 61,930,069 of record NC_000007.14, on the reverse strand, counting down.
TTCTAGTTTTTATCTGGGGATATTAGGTTTTTCCCCAAATGCCACATTGGTCTCTGAGCTGTCCCTTTGCACATCCTCTGAAAAGAGTGTTTCCAATCTGCTGAATCAAAAGAAAGGTTTAAACCTGTGAGATGAATCCACACATCACAAAGCAGTTTAAACAATAGATTCTTTCCAGTTTTCTTGGGGGGATATTTTGTTTTGCCCCATAGGCCTTAATGGGCTCCCAAGTGTTCCTTGGCAGATCCTATAATAATAGTTTCCAACCTGCTGAATCAAAAGAAATTTTACCTCTGTGAGCTGAATTGACATATCATGAAGCAGTTTCACGGATAGCTTTTTTCCAGTTTTTTTTCTAGGGATAATCGGTTTTTCGAAATAGGATTCAATGGGCTATGAAATGTCCCTTTGCAGATTCTCCAAAAGGAGCATTTCCAACCTGCTGAATCAAAAGAAATATTTATCTCTGGGAGATGAATTGATACATCACAAAGCTATTCCACACATGGCTTCTTTCTAGTTTTTAACTGGGGATACACCATTTTTCCCCATAGGGCTCAATGGGCTCCAAAATAACCCTTCACAAATAGTTCAAAAACGTGTTTTCAACCTCGTGAATAAAAGGAAGTTTTAACATTGTGAGATGAATCCACACATCACTAAGCAATTTCGCAGATAGCTTCTTTTTAGTTTTTATCTGGGGATATTCAGTTTTTCCCCATTGTCCTCAAAGGGCTCCTCAATATCCCTTAGCAGAATCTCCAAAAAAAGTGTTTCCAACCTGCTGAATCAAAAGAGGGTTTAACTCTTTGAAATGAATTCAACATCACAAAGCATTTTCACAGATAGCTTCTTTCTAGTTTTTATCTGGGAATAGTCATTTTTTCCCCATAAACCCCAGTGGGCTCCCAAATGTCTTTTTGCAGATTCTCCAAACAGTGTTTCCAACATGCTCAATCAAAAGAAAGTTTTAACACTGTGAGATCAATCCACAAACCATAAAGCAGTTTCACAGACAGCTTCTTTATAGTTGTTATCTGGGGATATTCAGTTTTTCCCCATAGGCTTCAATGGGCTCCCAATATCCCTTCTAAGACTCTACAAAATGAGTGTTACCAATTTCCTGAATCAGAAGAAAGGTTTAATTTTGTGAGATGAATCCACACATCACAAAGCCATTTCACAGATAGCTTCTTACTAGTTTTTTTTCTAAGTATATTCTGCTTTCCCCCTTGACTTCAATGGGCTCCATAATATTTCTTCACAGATTTTCCAAAAAGAGTGTTTCCAATCTGCTGAATCAAAAGAAAGTTTTAATTCTGTGAGATGAATCAACACATCACAAAGCAGTTTCACACATATGTACTTTCTTATTTTTATCCATGGATATTCCGTTTTTTCACTTAGGTCTCAATGGGCTCCCAAATGTCCCTTCACAGGTTCTCCAAAAAGAGTGTTTCCAAACTACTGATTCCAAAGAAAGGTTTAACTCTGTGTGATGAAACTACACATCCAATACCAGTTTCATAGTTAGCATCTTTCTAGTTTTTTTCTGGGGATATTCAATTTTTCCCCATAGACTTCAAAGGGCTCCAAAATGTCCCTTCGCAGATTCTCCAAAAAGAGTACTTCCAACCTGCTGAAACAAAAGAAAAGTTTACCTCTTTTAAATGAATTTACACATCCCAAAGCAGCTTCACAGAGAGCTTCTTTTTAGTTTTCATCTGAAGATATTTGTTTTTTTCCCATAAACCTCACTGGGTTCCAAAATGTCTTTTTGCAGGTTCTCCAAAGAGTGTTTCCAAATGCTGAATCAAACACAAAGTTTCATCCTGTGAGATGAATCCATAAATCACAAAGCAGTTTCACAGATAGCTTCTTTCTAGTTGTTATCTGGGGATATTTTGTTTTTCCCCATAGTCTTCAATGGGCTACTAAATGTCCATTTGCAGTTCCTACAAACTGAGTGTTTCCAATTTTCTGAATCAAAAGAAAGGTTTAACTTTGTAAGATGAATCCACACATCACAAAGCTATTTCCCAGATAGATTCTTACTAGTTCTTTTTTAGGTATACTTTGTTTTCCCCCTAAACCTTAATGGGCTCCCAAATGTTTCTTCACAGATTCTCCAAAAAGGGTTTTTCCAACCTGCTGAATCAAAGAAAAGTTTTAACTCTGTGAGATGAATCCACACATCATCAAGCAGTTTCACACATAGCTTCTTTCTAGTTTTTAAATGGGCCTATTCAGTTTTTCCCCATAGGCCTCAAAGGGCCCTCAAATGTCCCTTCACAGATTCTCCAAAAAGAGTGTTTGCAGCCTGCTGATTCAAAAGGAAAGTTTATCTCTTTGAAATAAATTCACACTTCCCAAAGCAGTTTCACAGATAGCTTCTTTGTAGTTTTCATCTGGGGATATTTGGTTTTTCCTCATAAACCCCAACGGGCCATGAAATGTCTTTTCACAGATTCTCCAAAGAGTGTTTCCAACATGCTGAACCAAAGAAAGATTTAACACTGTGAGATGCATCCACAAATCACAAAGCAGTTTCACAGATAGCGTCTTTCTAGTTATTATTTGAGGATAATTAGTTTTTCCCCATAAGCTTCAGTGGGCTCCCAATGTCCCTTCACAGATTGTACAAAATGAGTTTTTCCAATTTTCTGAATCAAAAGAAAGGTTTAACTTTGTGAGATGAATCCACACATCACAAATCACAAAGCCGTTTAGCAGATAGCTTCTTACTAGTTTTTTTCCAGGTATATACAGTTTTGCCCATAGGCTTCATGGGCTCCAAAATGTCATTTCATGGATTCTTCAAAAGGAGTTTTTCAGGCTGGTTAATCAAAATAAAGCTTTAACTCAGTGAGAGGAATCCACACATCACAAAGCAGATTCACAGATAGCTTCTTTCTAGTTTTTACCTGGTCATATATGTTTTCCCCCATAGGCCTCAATGATCTCCAAAATGTCCCATTGCAGATTCTCGAAAAAGAGCTTTTCCAATCTGCTAAATCAAAAGAAAGGTTTAACTCTGTGAGAAGAATCCAAACACGGCAAAGCAGTTTCACTGATAGTTTCTTACTAGTTTTTATCTGGGGATATTCAGTTTTCCCCATGCATAAATGGGCTTCCAAATGTTTCTTGACAGATTCTACAAAAAGATTGTTTCCAACCTGCTAAATTAAAAAAAAAAAATTAGCTTTATGTGGAGTCCACACATCACAAATCTTTTTCACAGATAAATTCTTTCTAGTTTTTATCCATGGATATTTCTTCTTTTTCCTTTAAGCCTCAATGGGCTATGAATTGTCCCTTGGCAGATTCTCCAAAAAAAGTGTTTCCAACATACTGATTCTAAAGAAAAGTTTAACTCAGTGCAATGAATCAACACATAAAATACCAGTTTCACAGATAGATTCTTTCCAGTTTTTTGGGGGGGGAATTTTCAATTTTTCCCCTAGACAGCAAAGGTCTCCCAAATGTCCCTTCACAGATTCTCCAAAAAAGGATTTCCAACCTGATAAATCAAAAGAAACTTTGAACTCTGTGAGATGAACACACACATCACAAATCCGTTTCTCAGATAGCTTCTTTTTAGTTTTTATCTGGAGATATTTGGTTTGTTCTCTTAGAACTCCATTTGCTCCCAAATGTCATTTGGCAGATTCTACAAAAAGATTGTTTCCAACCTGCTAAGTCAAAAGAAAGATTTAAGTCTGTGAGATGAAGGCACACATCACAAAGCAGTTTCACAGAAAGCTTCTTTCTAGTTTTTATATGAAAATATTCAGTTTTTACCCATATGCCTCAATGGGCTCCCAAGTATCTCTTCACAGATTCTTGAAAAAACTGTTCCCAAGCTTTTGAATCAAAAGAAAGATTTAACTCTGTGAGATGAATCCACACATCACAAAACAGTTTCACAGATAGCTTCTTTCTGGTTTTTACATTGGTATATTCTGTTTTTCACAGAGGTCTCAATGGGTTCCAAAATGTCTCTTCGCAGATCCTACAAAGAGAGTTTTTCAAACCTGCTGAAGAAAAAGAAAAGTTTAACTCCATGAGACAAATCCACACATCACAAAAGCAGTTACACAGATAGCTTCTTTCTAGTTTTTAACTGCGGATATTTGGCTTCTCCCCATAGGCCTTAAAGCGCTCCAAAAAATTCATTCACATATTATCCAAAATGAGGGTTTAAAACCCGCTGAATCAAAAGAAGGATTTAACTCTGTGAGTTTAATCCACCCATTAAGAATCAGTTTCAGAAATATCTTCTTTCTAGTTTTTACCTAGGGATATTCAGTTTTTACCCATGGGCCTCAATGGGCTCCCACATACAACCTCACAGATTCTCCAAATAGATTGTTTCCAGGCTGCTGAATCAAAAGACGGATTTAACTTTGTAAGATTAATCCACTTATTACAAAGCAGTTTCTCAGATAATTTCTTTCTAGTTTTTATCTGTGGATAGTCAGTTTTTCTTCTTAGAAGAAAATGTGCTCCATTTTGTCTCTTTGCAGAATCTACAAAAAGAGCATTTCCAACCTGCTGAATCAAAACAAGGCTTTAACTCTGTGAGATGAATCGACACATCATGAATCAGTTTAAGAAATAGCTTTTTTCTAGTTTTTATCTGGGGATATTCAGTTTTTACCCATAGGCCTCAATGGGCCCCAAAATGTAATGTGCGGATTCTCCAAATAGATTGTTTCCAGCCTGCTGAATCAAAAGAAAGGTTTAACTCTATGAAATTGATCCACTTTTTAGAAAGCAGTTTCTCAGAGAGCTTCTTTCTAGTTTTCATCTGTGGATAGTTGCTTTTTCTTCTTAGAAGAAAATGTGTTCCCTTACATCTTTTTGCAGATTCTGCATAAAAAGCCTGTCCAACCTGCTGAATCAAATGAAAGATTTAACTCTGTGAGATAAATCCACACATCAAAAAGCAGTTTCACAGATACCTTCTTTCTGGTTTTTACCTGGAGATTTTCAGTCTTTCCCCATAGGCCTCAATGGGCTCCCGATTGTCCTTTTGCAGATTCTCCGTAAAGAGTGTTTCCAAGCCGTTAAATCAACAGAAAGATTTAACTATGTGAGATGAGTCTTCCACACATCACAAAGCTGTTGCTGTTTCACAGATAGTTTCTATCTAGTTTTTATCTGGGGATATTTGAATTTTCCCCATATGCCTGAACGGGCTCCTGAATGTCCCTTCACAGATTTTACAAAAAGAATGCTTCCAACCTGCTGAAGCAAAAGAAAGTTTGAAGTCCCTGAGATGAATGCATACATCACAAAGCAGTTTCACAGATAGCTTCTTCTCATTTTTATCTCTGCATATTACATTTTGCCACATAGGCCTCAATGGGCTCCAAAACATTCCTATGCAGATTCTCCAAAAACCGTGTTTCCAACCTAATGGATCAAAAGAGAGGTTTAACTCTGTGAGAGGAAACCACAAATCACAAAGCTGTTTCACAAATACGTGCTTTCTAATTTTTATCTGTGGATATTGAGTTTTTCCCCTAGGCTTCAAAGGGTTCCCAAATGTCTCTTCTCAGATTCTACAAAAAGAGTGTTTTCAACCTGCTGGATCAAAAGAAAGGTTTAACTCAGTGAGATGCATCCACACATCACAGAGCAATTTACAGAGAGCTTCTTTCTAGTTTTTTTTTTCCTGGGGATTACTAGTTTTTCCCAATAAGACTCAATGGGCTACAAAGTGTACCCTCACAGACTCTCAAAAATAGGGTTTTAAACCTGCAGAATCAAAAGAAACATTTAACTCTGGGAGATGAATTGACACATCACAAAGCAGTTTCACAGATGGATTCTTTCTAGTTTTTAACTGGGATATTCAGGTTTTCCCCATTGGCCTCAATGGGCTCCCAAATGTCCCTTCATAGATTTCACAAAAAGACTGCTTCCAACTTACTGAAACTAAAGACAGGTTTAACTGTGTGAGATGAATCCACACATCAATGAGTAGTTTCACAGATTGCTTTTTTGTAGTTTTTATCTGGGGATATTCAGTTCTCCTTCATAAGCCTCAGTGGGCTCTTAAATATTTCTTCACGGATTGTCCACAAAGAGTGTTGCCAATCTGCTGAATCCAAAGAAAGTTTTACCTTTGAGACATGAATCCACACAGACAAAGCAGTTTCGCAGACAGCTTCTTTCTAGTTTTTATCTCTGGATATTTGGTTTCTCCCCACTGGCCTCAATGGGCCCCTAAATGTCCCTTTGCAGATTCTAAAAAAACAGTATTTCCAAATGGCTGAATCAAAAGATAGGTTTAACTCTGAGAAGTGAGTCCATACATCACAAAGCAGTTTCACTGGTATCTTCTTTCTAGTTTTTGTCTGCGTTTATTCACATTTTCACTATAGGCCTCAATGCACTCCCAGAAACCCTTTTGCAGATTCTAAAAAAACAGTGTTTCCATACAGCTGTATCAAAAGAAAGATTTAACTCTGTGAGATGAATCCACACATCTCAAAGCAGTTCCACAAATAGCTTCTTTCTATTCCTTATCTGGGGATATTCAGTTTGTAACCATAGAACTCAATATGCTATTTAAGGTCCCCTTGCAGATTCTACAAAGGACCCTTTGCAACCTGCCAAATCAAAAGAAAGTTTAAACTCTGTGATAGGAATTGACACAACACAAAACAGTTTCACAAATAACATTTTCCTAGTTTTTATCTGGGGATATTTTCTTTTCCACCATAGGCCTCAATGAGCTCCAAAATGTCCCTTCACAGATTCTACAAAAACAGTGTTTCCAAACTACTGAATCAAAATAAAGTTTTAACTCTGTGAGATGAATCCACATATCACAAAGCAGTTTCACAGATAGCTTCTTTCTATTTTTAATCAGTGGATATTCTCTTTTTAATCAGTGGATATTCTCTTTTTCACCATAGTCCTCAATGCACTCTTGAATGTCCCTTCACAGATTCTACAAAGTGTTTCCAAACTGCTTAAATAAAAGAAAGGCCTAACTCTGTGTGATGAATCCACACATCACAAGGCAGTTTCACAGATAACTTCTTTCTAGTTTTTATCTGGGAATATACAGTTTGTCAACATAGGCCTCAGTGCACTCCCAAATGCCCCTTTGGACATTCTACAAAAGGACTGATTCCAACATGCTTAATCAAAAGAAAGGTTTAACTCTCTGAGATTAATCCACACATCACAAAGGAGTTTCACAGATAGCTTCTTTCTAGTTTTAATCTGGTGATATTCTGTTTTGCCCCATAGGTCTCATTGGGCTCTCAAATGTCCCGTCACCGATTCTCCAAAAAGAGTGTTTCCAGCCTGGTGAATCAATAGAAAGTTTTAACTCTGTCAGATGATTCCAAACCTCCCAAAGCAGTTTCATAGAGAGTTTCTTTCTATTTTTTATCTGGGGATATTCAGTTTTTCCCCATAGCCTTCTGTGGGCTCCCAAATATCCCTTCATAGATTCTCCAAAGAGAGCATTTCTAACCTTCTGAGTCAAAAGCAAGGATTAACTCTGTGAGCTGAATCCACACATCAAGAAGCACTTTCTCAGATACGTTATTTCTTGTTTTTACTGGGAATATTTGGCTTTTTCCCATAGGCCTTATAGGCTTCCATATCACCCTTCAAAGATTCTTTAAAAGGAGCATTTCCAACGCCCTGAATCAACAGAAAGGTTTAACTCTGTGAGACGAACCCATACATAACAAAGTAACTTCACAGATAGCTTCTTTCTAGTTTTAATCTGGGCATATACAGTTTTTTCCTATAGGCCTCAATGGGCTCCAAAATGACCCTTTGCATATTCTACAAAAAGCATGTTTCCAACCTACTGATTAAAAATAAATGGTTAATCCTGTGAGATGAATCCACACATCAGAGAGCAATTTCAAAGACGGCTGCTTTCTAGTTTTTATCTGGAGACATTCATTTTTTCCTGATAGGCCTCTAAGGGCTCTCAAATGTCCCTTCACAAATACTCTAAAAAGAGTGTTTCCAACCTGCTGAATCAAAAGAAAGGTTGAACTCTGTGAGATGAATAAACACCTCACTAAGCAGTTTCACAGTTAACTTTTTTCTAGTGTTTATCAGGGGATATTCAGTTTTTCCCTATTGGTCTCGAAGGTCTGCTCAATGTCCCATTGCAGATTCTCCAACAAGAGTGTTTGCAATCTGTTGAATCAAAAGACAAGTTTGACTCTGTGAGATGAATCCACACATCGCAAAGCAGTTTCACAGATAGCTTCTTTCTAGTTTTTACTTAGGAATATTCAATCTTTTCCCATAGGCCTCAAAGGTTTCTTAATATCCTTTCACAGTTTCTCAAAAAAGAGTGTTTTCAATCTGCAGAATCAGAGGAAAATTTAACTCAGTGTGATGAATCTATATAAGAAAGCAGTTTAACAGACAGCTTCTTTGTGTTTTTTATCTGGAGATATTTTGTTTTTCCTCTTAGGCCTCAATGTGCTCTGAAACATCCCATCATAGATTCTCTAAAAAGAGTGGCTCCAACCTGCTCAATCAGAGGAAGTTTTATCTCTGTGAGATGAATCCACATATCAGGAAGCAGTTTCACAGAAGACTTCTTTGTAGTTTTTATCTGGAGATATTCAGTTTTTCCCTATAGGTCTCAATTAACTTCCAAATGTCCCTTTGCAAATTCTCCAAAAAAGTGTTCCCAATCACTTAATCAAAAGAAATGTTTAACTTTGTGAGGTGAATCCACAAATCTAAAATGGTTTCACAGATACCTTCTTTCTAGTTTTTATCTGGGGATATTTGTTTTTTTCCCAATAGGCCTCAATGGGCTCCCAAATCGTCCTTTCACAGATTCTCCTAAAAGATCGTTTAAAACCTATTGAATGAAAAGAAATTTTTAACATTGTGAGTTGAATCCACACATCACAAAACAGTTTCACAGATAGATTATTTCTAGTTTTCATACGGGGATATTTGTTTTTTTCTCATAGGACTCAATGGGCTGCCAAATGTCCCATTGCAGATTCTACAAAAAAACTCTATCCAACATGCTGAATCAAAAGAAAGGTTTGTCTCTCTGAGATGAATCCACACATCACATAGGAGTTTCACAGATGGCTTCTTTCTCATATTTATCTAATGATAATTGCTTTTCCACCATAGGCTTCAATGCACTCCCAAATGTCCCTTTGCAGATTCTATAAAATCAGTGTTTTGAAACGGCTTAATCACAATAAAGGTTTAACTCTGTGAGATGAATCCACACGTTACAAAGTAGTTTCTCAGTTAGATTCTTTCTAGTTTTCCTGTCGGGATATTCCCTTTTTAATCATAGACCTCAATGATCTCCCACATGTCCCTTTGCAGATTTTACAAAAGCAGTCAAACTGCTGAATCAAAAGAAAGGTTTAAATCTGTGACATGAGTCAACCCATCACAAAGCAGTTTTACAGGTAATTTCTTTCTATTTTTTATCTGGGGATATTTGCTTTCTCACAATAGGCCTCAATGCATTCCAAAATGTACCCTCACAGTTTCTACAAAAACTGTGTTTCCAACATGCTGAATTAAAAGAAAGGTTTGGCCGGGCACCATGGCTCAAGCCTGTAATCCCAGCACTTTCGGAGGCCGAGGCGGGCGGATCACGAGGTCAGGAGATCGAGACCATCCTGGCTAACATGGTGAAACCGCGTCTCTACTAAATATACAAAAAATCAGCCAGGCGTGGTGGCAGGCGCCTGTAGTCCCAGCTACTCGGGAGGCTGAGGAAGGAGAATGGCGTGAACCCAGGTGGCGGAGCTTGCAGTGAGCCGAGATCGTGCCACTGCAATCCAGCCTGGGCGACAGAGTGAGACTCCGTCTCAAAAAAAAAAAAAAAAAGGTTTAACTCTATAGGTTGAATCCACACATCACCAAGCAGTTTCACAGATAGCTTCTATCTAGTTTATATCTGGGGATATTTTCTTTATCACCATAGGTCTATAAGCATTCTCAAATGTCCCTTTGCAGATTGAACAGAAAGAGTGTTTCCAATCTGCTTAATCAAAACAAACGTTTAACTCTGTGAGATGAATCCACACATCAGAAAGCAGTTTCACAAATAGCTTCTTTCTAATTTCTATATTGGGATATTTCATTTTTCCCACAGGCCTCAATGGGCTCCAAAATATTCCTTTGCAGATTCTCCAATAAGAGAATTTCCAACCTGCTGAATCAAAAGAAAGGTTAACTCTGCAAGCTGAAATCAAACATAGAAAGGAGTTTCACAGATAGCTTCTTTCTAGTTTTTTTCTGGGGATATTCAGTTTTTCTCCATAGGCCTCAATGGGCTCCAAAATGTCCCTCTGGAGATTTGCCAAAAGAGTGTTTCAAACGTGCTGAATCAAAAGAAAGCTTTAACTCTGTTGGATGAATTCACACAACACACAGCAGTTTCAGAGATATCTTCTTTTTATTTTTTTTTCTGGATATATTCTGTTTTGCCCATTAGGCCTTAATAAGCTCGCAATGACCTGTGAAGATTGTACAAAAAAAAAAGTGTTTCCAACCTGCTGAATAAAAATAAAGGTTTAATTCTGTGAGCTGATTTCACACATCACAAAGCAGTTTTACACATAGCTTCTTTCTAGTTTGATTTAGTGAAATTTATTTTTTCTTTATAGGCCTCAATGGGCTCTTAAATGTCCCATATTAGATTCTCCAAAAAGAGTGATTTCAGCCTTTAGAATCAAAAGAAAGTTTTAACTCTGTGAGATGAATCCACAAATCACAAAGCAGGTTCACAAATAGCTTCCTTCTAGTTTTTACCTGGGGATATTCAATTTTTCCCCATAGGCCTCAATGGGCTCGCAAGTGTCCCTTCGCAGATTCTACAAAAAGATTGTTTCCAAGCTGCTGAATCAAAAGAAGTTTTAACTCTGTGACATGAATCCACACATCATAAAGCAGTTTTACAAATAGCTTCTTTCTAGTTTTTATATGGGAATATTCTGTTTTTTGCTGTAGGCCTCAGTGGTCTCACAAATGTCCCTTCACAGATTCTCCTAGAAGAGTGTTTCCAACCTGCTGAATCAAATGAAAGGATTACCTCTGTTAGATTAATCCACACATCACAAGGAAGTTTCACAGATGGCTTCTTTCTAGTTTTTAACTGGGGATATTCTGTTTTTTCCCTTAGGCCTCAACGGGCTCCCAAATTTGTCTTCATAGATTCTGCAAAAAGAGAGTTTTCAACCTGCTGAATCAAAAGAAAGGTTTAGCTCTGTGAGTTGCAACCAAACCTCACAAATTAGTTTCACAGATAGCTTCTTTCTAGTTTTCATCTGGGGATATTTGTTTTTTCTCCATAGGCCTCAATGGGCTCTCAAAAGTTCTTTTGCAGACTCAACAAAAAGGGCATTTAAAACCTGCTGAATCAAAAGAAACATTGAACTTTGTTGGATCAACCCACACATCACAAAGCAGTTTCACTGATACATTCTTTCTAGTTTTTGGAGGGATATTCCATTTTGCCCCATAGGCCTTAATGGACTCCCAATATTCCCTCTGCAGATTCTTCAAAGAGTGTTTCCAACCTACTGAATCTAAAGAAATTTTTAACTCTGTGATGAATCCACACAACAAATACCAGTTTCACAGATAGATATTTTCCTAGATTTTATCTGGAGATACTTGGCTTCACCCCTTAGGCCTCAATATGCTCCCAAATGTCCCTTCACAGATTCTACAAAAAGAGTACTTCCAACTTGCTGAATCAAAAGAAAGGTTTAACTCTGTTGGATGAATCCACACATCACAAAGCAGATTCACTGATAGATTCTATCTAGCTTTTTGAGGGGATATTTTCTTTTGCCTCATAGGCCTTAATGGACTCCCAAATATCCCTTTGCAGATACTATAATAAGAGTATTTCCAATCTGCTGAATCAAAAGAATGGTTTACCTCTGTGAGTTGAATCCACACTACACAAAGCAGTTTCACAGATAGTTTCTTTCTAGTTTTTATCTGGAGATATTCGGTTTATCCCCTTAGGCCTCAATGGACTCCCAAATTCCCTTCACTGATTGTTCAAAAAAAGTGATTCCAACTGCTGGATCAAAATAAAGTCTTAACTCTGTCAGATGAATACACATTTCACAAAGCAGTCTCACAGATAGCTTCTTCCCAGTTTTTATCACGGGATATTTTGTTTATTCCTGTAGGCATCCATGGGCTATCAAATTTCCCTCAACAGCTTTTCCAAAAAGTGTTTGTAACCTGCTGAATCAAAAGAAAGTTATAACTCAGTGAGATGAATCTGTACACCACATAGCAGTTTCACAGATAGATTCTTTATAGTTTTTTTTCTAAGGATATTTTGTTTTTCCCCATAGGCCTCAATGTGTTCCCAAATGTCTCTTCACGGATACTAAAAAAAGAATGTTTCCAACCTGCTGAAAAAAATAAGGTTTAACTCCATGAGATAAATCTACATATCACAAAGCAGTTTCACAGATAGCTTCTTTCTAGTTTTCAACTGGAAATATTCAGTTTTTCCACACAGGCCATAATGGGCTGCCAAAAGTCCCTCCAGTGATTCTCTAAAGAGGCTGTTTCCAACCTGCTTAATCAAAAGGAAGATTTAACTCTGTGAGATGAATCCAAACATCACAAAGGAGTTACACAGATAGCTTCTTCCTAGTTTTTATCTTGGGATATTTGGTTTTTCCCCATAAGCCTCAATGGACTCCCAAATGTCCATTCAAAGATATGCCACGTAGTGTTTCCAACCTGATGAATCAAAAGAAAGGTTTAATTCCGTGAGATGAATCCACACATCACAAAGCAGGTAAACAGCTTCCTTCTAGTTTTTATCTGTGCATATTGAGTCTCTCCTCATTGGCCTCAAAGGCTCCCAAATGTCCCTTTGCATATTCTCCAAAAAGAGTGTTGCCAACCTGATAAATAAAAGGAATAGTTGAAGTCTGACAGATGAAGCCTCACATCACAGACCAGTTTCACAGATAGCTTCTTTCTTGTTTTTATCTGTGGATATTCTTTTTTTATGCTGAGTCCTCAATGGACTCCCAAATGTCCCTTCACAGTTTCTACAAATAAAGTGTTTCCATCCTGCTGAATCAAAAATAACGTTTAGCTCTTTCTAGTTTTTATCTGGAGATATTTGCTTTTATTTCCCATAGGCCTCAATAGGCTCCGAAACATCCTTTAGTGGATAGTACAAAAACAATGTTTCTAACCTGCTGAATCAAAAGAAAGGTTTAACTCTGTGATATGTATCCACACATCACAAAGCAGTTTCAAAGATAGATTCCTTCTTGTTTTTATCTGGGGGTATTCGATTTTGCCTAATAGGCTTCAATGGGCTACCCAACGTCCTTTCACAGGTTCTACGAAAAGAGTGTTTCCAACCTGCTGAATCAAAGGAAAGATTTAACCCTGTGAGATGAATTCACACATCACAAAGCAGTTTCACAGATAACTTCTTTCTAGTTTTTATCTGGGGATACTCGCTTTTTAACCATATGCCTCAATGAGCTCCTAAATATCCCTTCGCAGACTCTACAAAAACAGTTTTTCCAAACTGCTGAATCAAAAGAAAGGTTTAACTCTTTGAGATGAATCCACACATAAAAAAGTCGTTCCTCAGATAGCTTCTTTCTAGTTTATATCTGGGGATATTCAGTTTTTTCCATAGGTGTCACTGGGTTCCTGGATGTCCTGTCGCAAATTCTACAAAAAGAGTGTTTCCAACCTGCTGGATCAGAAGAAATCCTTAACTCTGTTAGATTAATGTAGTCAATACACAGCAGTTCTACATATACCTTCTTTCTACTTTTTATCTGGGGATATTTCTTCCCCATAGGCTTCAGTTGGCTCCCAAATGCCCCTTCACTGATTCTACAAAAAGAGTTTTTCCAACATGCTGGATCAAAAGAAAGGTTTAACTCCGTGAGATGAATCCACAAATCACAAAGCAGTTTCTGAGATAGGATTTTATAGTTTTTATTTGGGAACGTTCTCTTTTTACTCATAGATTTCAATGGCTTCAAAATATCCATTCACAGATTCTTCATATAGAATATTCCCTCCTGCTAAATAAAAAAAAGGTTTACCTCTGCGAGATGAATCCACACATGACAAAGAAAGTTCACGGAGAGCTTTTGTCTAGTTTTTATCAGAGGATATTCTGTTTTTTTTCCAATGCCACAATGGTCTCCCAAGTGTGCCTTCACAGATTCTCCATAAACAGTGATTCCAACATGCTTAATCAAAATAAGTCTTAACTCTGTTAGATGAATCCACATATCACAAAGCAGTTTCATGGATAGCTTCTTCTCAGTTTTTATCTGGAGATATTCTGTTTATTCCCATAGGCATCAATGGGCTCTCAGATGTCCCTTAGCAGATTTTCCAAAAACAGCATTTCTAACCTGCTGAACCAAAAGAAAGTTATGAGTCTGTGAGATGTATCTGCACATCAGAAAGCAGTTTCACACATAGATGCTTTCTAGTTTTTATCTAAGGATATTCAGTTTTTCCCATAGGCCTCAATGGGTTCCCAAATGCCACTTCACAGATCCTAAGAAAAGAGTGCTTCCAACCTGCTTAATCAAGAGTAAGGTTTAAATCTGTGAGATGAATCCACAAATCACAAAGCAGTTTAAAAGATAGCTTCCTTCTACTTTTCATCTGGAAGTTTTCAGTTTTTCCCCATAGGCCATAACGGGCTGACAAATATCCCTTTGCAAATTATCTAAAAAGACTGCTTACAACCTGCTGAATCAAAAGAAAGGTTTAACTCTGTGAGATGAATCCAAACATCACAAAGCAGTTTCACAGATAGTTTCTTTCTAGTTTTTATCTTGGGATACTTTGTTTTTCTCCACAGGCCTCAATTGACTCCCAAATGTCCATTCAGAGATTCTCCAACTAGAGTGTTTCCAACCTGGTGAATCAAAGAAAGGTTTAACTCCATGAGATGAATCCACACATCACATAGCAGGTACACAGATGGCTTCCTTCTAATTTTTATCTGTGGATTTTTTTCCCCATTGCCCTCCAAGGCCTCCCAAAAGTCCCTTCACATATTCTTCAAAAAGAGTATTTCCAACCTCCTGAATCAAAATAAAGGTTTAACTGTGGGAGGTGAATCCACACATCACAAACCGGTTTCAAGGATAGCTTCTTTCTAATTTTTATCTTGGGATATTCTATTTTTACACTTAGGCCTCAATGGCCTCCCAAATGTCCCTTTGCAGATTCTACAAAAAGTGTTTTTCCAACCTGCTGAATACAAAGAAAGGTTTAACTCTGATAGATGAATTTACACATTACAAATCAGATTCACAGATAGTTTTTTTCTGGTTTTTATCTGGAGATATTTGGTTTCTCCCCATAGGCCTCAATGGGCTCCCAAATGTCCCTTCACAGATTTTCCAAAAAGAGTGTTTCCAACCTGCTGAATCAAAAGAAAGTCTTAACTCCTTGACATAAATCCACACATAAAAATGAGTTTCACTGATAGCTTCTTTCTAGTGTGTATCTGTGAATAATCTGTTTTTACACTTAGGCCACAATGGGCTCCCAAATGTGCCTTTGCAGATTCTCCAATTAGAATTTTTCCAATGGGCTGAATCTAAAGTAATGTTTAACTCTGTGACATGAATCCACACATCACAATGCAGTTTCAGAGACAAATTCTTCATAGTTTTTAACTGGGGATATTCAGTTTTTCCCCATAGTCTTCGAGAAGCTCATAAATGTCCATTTGAAGATACTCCAATCAGAGTGTTCCAACCTTCTGAATCAGAAGAAAGTTTTAACTGTAGGAGATGAATCTACACATCAAAGAGCAGTTTCAAAGATAGCTTCTTTCTAGTATATATCTTGGGATATTCATTTTTTACCTATAGGCCACAATGGGTTTCCAAATGTGCCTTCGTGTATTCTACAAAAACACTGCTTCCAAACTGCTGAATCAAAAGGAAGGCTTAACTTTGTGAGATGAATCCACACAACAGAAAGCAGTTTTACAGATACATTCTTTCTAGTTTTTATCTGGGGATATACGGTTTGTCACCATAGTTCTCAATATGCTCCAAAATATCCCTTCATAGATTCTACAAAAGGACTGTTTCCAAGCTGCTGAATAAAAAGAAAGGTTCAACTCTGTGAGAATAATGCAAACATCACAAAACAGTTTCAGAGATAACTTCTTTCTAGTTTTTACCTGGGGATGTTTGCTTTTACACAATAGGCCTCAATGTGCTCCCAAATATCTCTTCACAGATTCTACACCTCAATGGGTTCCCAAATATTCCTTCACAGTTCCTTTGAAAAGAGTGTTTCCAAAATGCTGAATCAAAAGAAATGTTTAAGTCTTTTGGATGAATCCACACATCACACAGCAGTTTCAGAGATAGCTTCTTTCTACTTTTTTTCTGGGAATATTCAGTTTTTTCCCCATAGGCGTCAATGATCTTCCAAATATCTCTTCACAGATATTTAAGAAAAAGTGTCTCCAATTTGCTGAGTCAAAAGAAAGCTTTAACTCAGTGAGATTAATCCACACATAACAAAGCAGTTTCACAGATACCTTCTTTCTAATTTTTGTCTGGGGATATTCAGTTTGTCACCATAAGTCTCAATGGGCTCCCAAATGTCCCTTCACAGATTCTTCAAAAGGAATCTTTCAAACCACCTGAAACAAAGGAAAAGTTTAACTCTATGAGATGAATCCACAAATCACAAACAAGTTTAACAGATAATTTCTTTTCTGTTTTTATCTGAAGTCACTTTTTCACCACAGGCCTCAATGAGCTCACAAGTGTCCCTTCACAGATACTTCTAAAAAAGAGTTTGTAAATAGCTGAATCAAAACAAAGGTTTACCCCTGAGATGAATCCACACATCACAAAGCAGTTTCACAGATAGCTTCTTTTTAGTTTTTATCTTGGGATATTCGCTTCTTCAACATAGACCTCAATGAGCTCCAAAATGTCCTTTCACCGATTCTAAAAAAGGACTGTTTCCAACCTGCTGAATCAAAAGAAGGATTTATCTCTGTAAGTTGAATCCACACATCACAAAGGAATTTCACAGATAGCTTCTTTTTAGTTTTTTTCTGGGGATACTCATTTTTTCACCAAAGGCCTCAATCATCTTCCAAGCGTTCCTTCGCAGAGTCTACAAAAACAGTGTTTTCAAACTGCTGAATCAACAGAAAGGTTTAACTCTGTTAGATGAATCCACACATACCAAAGCAGATTCAAAGCTATCTTCATTTTCGTTTTTATCTGGGGATATTCTTTTTGTCACCATAGGCCTCAATGTGCTCCCAAGTATCCCTTAAGCATATTCTTCAAAAGGACTGTTTCAAACCTACTAAATTAAAATAAATGTTTATCTCTGTGAGATGAATCCATACATCCCCAACAGTTTCACAGACATCTTATTTCTTCTATTTATCTGGGGATATTTTGTTTGTTATAAATGGCCTCAATGCACTCCCAAATGTCCCTTTGCAGAATCTACAAAAAAACTGTTTCCAAGCTTCTGCATCATAACAAAGTTTTAACTCTGTGAGGAGGATTCACACGTCACAAAGTAGTTTCACAGGTAACTTCTTTTTAGTTTTTATCTGGGGATATTACCTTTTTCACCATTGGCCTCAATGAGCTCCAAATGTCTCCTCACAGATTCTACATAAACAGTGTTTTCAAACTGCCAAATCAAAAGAAAAATTTAACTCTTTGAAATGAATCCATGCATCACAAAGGAGTTTCACAGGTAGCCTCTTTCTAGTTTTTATCTGGGGATATTCACTTTTTCACCATAGGCTGCAATGAGCTCCCAGTGTCCCTTCGCAGATTCTACACAAACAGTGTTTCCAAACTGCTGAATCAAAAGAAAGGCTTAAGTCTGTGAGATGAATCCACACATCACAAAGCTGTTTCACAAACAGCTTCTTTCTAGTTTTTATCTGGGGATATTCAGTTCATCACCAGAGTCCTCAATGCACTCCCAAATGCCCCTTTGCAGATTGTACAAAAGGACTTCTTCACACCTGCCCAATCAAAACACAGGATTACCTCCGTGAGATGAATCCACATGTCACAAAGCAGTTTCATAGAGAGATTTTTTCTAGTTTTTATCTGGGGATATTTGCTTTTTCACCATACACCTTAATGAGCTACCATATGTCCCTTTGTACATTCTACAAGAACAGTGATTCCAAATGGCTGAATCAAGAGAAGAGTTTAACTCTGTAAGACGAATTCACAAATACCAAAGCAGTTTCACAGATAGCTTCTTTCTTGTTTTTATTTTGGGATATTCTGTTTGTCACGATAGGCCACAAAGTGCTCCCAGATGTCCCCTTGGAGGTTCTGCACAATACTGCTTCCAACCTGCTGAATGAAAAGAAAGCTTTAATTCTGTGAGATGAATCCACACATCAAAAGCAGTTTCACAGATAACTTCTTTTTAGTTTTTATATGTGGCTATATTTTTTTCACCATAGTCCTCATAGAGCTTCCAAATGTCCTTTCCTAGATTCTACGAAATAAGTGTTTTCAAACTTCTGAATCAAAAGAAAGGTTTAATTCTGTGAGATGAATCCACAAATAAGAAAGCAGTTTCACACATAATTTCTTTCTAGTTTTTATCTGCAGATATTTTCTTTTTCGCCATAGGCCTCAATGATCTCCCAAATGTCCCTTCACATATTCTACAAAAAGTGTTATCAAATTGCTGAATCAAAAGAAAGATTTAACTGTGTGAGATGAATCCACACATCACAAAGCAGTTTTACAAGTCACTTGTTCCTAGTTTTTGTCTGGGGATATTCGATTTGTCTCCATAGGCCTCAATGCCCTTGGAAATGACCTTCAGAAATTCTACAAAAAGATTGTTTTTAACCTGCTGAATCAAAAGAAATGTTTATCTCTGTGAGATGAATCCACACATCTTACAGAAGTTTCACAGAGAGCTTCTTTCTTGTTTTTATCTGGGGATAATTTGTTTGTCATGATAGGCCTCAATGTGCTCCCAAATATCCCTTTGCAGATTCTACAAAAGAAACTGTTTGCAAACTGCTGAAGAATTAGAAATGTTTAACTCTATGAGATGAATTCACACATCATGAAGTAGTTTTACAGATAACTTCTTTCTAGTTTTTATATGGGAATATTCAGTTTGTCACCATAGGCCTCAATGCGCTATGAAGTGTCCCTTTGCATATTCAACAAAAACGGTGTTTACAAACAGCTGAATCAGAAGAAAAATTGAACTGTGTTAGATAAATTCACACATCCCAAAGCAGTTTCACAGATAGCTTCTTTCTAGTTTTTATCTGGGGATATTCTGTTTGTCCCCATAGGCCTCAATGTGCTTTCAAATACACTTTCACAAATTATACCAAAGGACTGTTTCCAACTTGATGAATCAAAAGAATGGCTTAACACTGTGACAAGAATCCAAACAACACAAAGCATTTTCACAGATAACTTCTTTCTAGTTTTATCTGAAGATATTCACTTTTTCACCATAGGCCTCAATGACCTCCCAAATGTTGCTTTGCAGATTCTACAAAAACAGAGTTTATAAACTGCCGAATCATAGAAAGGTTTAACTCTGTGAGGTGAATGCACACATGACAAAGCCGTTTCACAGATGCCTTCTATCTCGTTTTTATCTGGGGATGTTCAGTTTGTCACCATAGGACTCACTGCATTCCCAAATGTCACTTTGCAGATTATACAAAAAGGCTGTTTCCAACCTGCTGATTGAAACTAAAGTTTTAACTCTGTGAGATGAATCCATGCATCACAAAGCATTTTCACAGACAGCTTCTTTCTAATTTTTATCCAGAGATTTTTGGTTTGTCATCATAAGCCTCAATGCACGCCAAAATGTTCCTTTGCAGCTTCTATGAAAGAACTGTTTCCAAGCTGATGAACAAAACAAGGGTTTAACTCTGTGAGGTGAATTCACACATCATAATGTAGTTTCGCTGATAATTTCTTTCTATTGTTCACCTGGGGATATTTGCATTTTCACCACAGGCCTCAATGAGCTCCAAAGTGTCCCTTCACAGATTCTACAAAAGTACTGTTCCCAATATGCTGAATCAAAAGAAAGGTTTAACTCTGTGAAATGAATCCACACATCACAAAGAAGTTTCATGGATAGCTTTTTTATAGTTTTAATTTGGGGATATTTTGTTTGTCACCATAGACATCAATGCACTAAAAAATGTGTCTTCACAGATTCTACAAAAGGACTGTTTCCAATCTGCTGAATGAAAACATAAGTTTAACTCTGTGAGGTGAATCCACACATTACACAACAGTTTCTAGAATTATCTAGTTTTATCTAGATAGCTAGATGAAATTCTCTAGAAAGATAATTTCTTTCTAGTTTGTATCTGGGGATACTCGTATTTACACCATAAACCTTAATGACCTCCCAATTGTCCCTTTGCTGATTCTACAGAAACAGTGTTTCCACACTGCTGAATCAAGATAAGGTTTTAACCCTGTGAGATTAATCCACACATATGAAGGCAGATTCATGGGTATCAGCCTTCTTGTTTTTATCTGGGGATATTCAGTTTGTCACTTTAGGCCTCCATGCACTCCCAAATGTCCCTTCACAGATTCTGCAAAAAAACTTTTCAACCTGCTGAATCAAAAGAAAGTTTTAATTCTGTGAGATGAATTCACGCATCAGAAAGCAGTTTCACAGATAAATTTTTCTAGTTTTTATCTGGGGCTCTACACTTTTTCACCACAGGCCTGAAGGTGCTTCCAAGTATCCCTTTGCAGATTCTGCACATGGATGGTTTTTAACCAGTTGAATCATAAGAAATGTTTAACTCTGTAAGATGAATCCACACATCACAAAGCAGTTTCACATATAGCTTATTTATAGTTTTTATCTGGGAATATTATGTTTGTCACCATAGGCGTCAATGTGCATGCAAATGTCCCTGTGCAGATTCTATTCTACAAAATGAATATTTCCAACCTGCTGAATCAAAAGAAAGGTTCAAATTTGTGAGAAGAAAATACACATGTCAAAGCAGTTTTACAGATAACGGCTTTCTAGTTTTTATCTAGGGACATTCACTTTTTCACTATAGGCTTCAATGAACTGCCTAATATCCCTTCACAAATTCTAGAAAAACAATGTTTCCAAACTGCTGAATCAAAAGAATGGCTTAACTCTGTGAAATAAATCCACACATCACAAAGCAATTCCACAGATAGCTTCCTTTTAGTTTTTATATGGAGATACTCTCTTTTTCACCATAGGACTCAATGAGGTCCCAAGTGTCCCTAGGCAGATTCAACAAAAACAGTGTTACCAAATTGGTGAATCAAAAGAAAGGCTTAACTTTCTGAGAGGAATCCAAATCCACCAAAGCAGTTTCACAGCTTCCTTCTAGTTTTATTTTGAGAATATACAGTTAGTCACCGAGGGCATCAATGCACTCCAAAATGTCCCTTCACAGATTCTACCAAAAACGTGTTTCCAACATGTTGCATCAAAAGGAAGGTTGAACTCTGTGAGATGAATCCACACATCACAAAGCAGCTTCAAAGATAGCTTCCTTCTAGTGTTTATCTGGGGATATTCGGGTTGTCACCATAGCCCACAATGTGCTCCCAAATGTTGCTTCCCAGATTCTTGAAAAGGAGTGTTTTGAAGCTACTGAATCAATAGGAAGGTTTACCGCTGTGAGAAGAATGCACACATCACAAGGCAGTATTACAGATAACTTCTTTCTATTTTTTTATGGAAGGATATTCACTTCTTCACCATAGGCCTCATTGAACTCCCAAATGCCCCTTTGCTCTTTCAATAAAAACAGTGTTTCCAAACTGCTGAATCAAGAGAAAGGATTAACTTTGTGAGATGAATCCACACATCTGCAGTTTCACAGATAGCTTCTTTCTAGTTTTTACCTGGAAATGTTGGCTTTTTCAAAATAGGCCTTAATGAACTCCCAAATTTCCCTTCGTAGATTCTATAAAAATAGTGTTTCCAAATGATGGAATCCAAAGAAACGTTTAAGTCTGTGAGATGAATCCAAACATCATAAAGTAGTTTCACAGATACCTTCTGTCTAGTTTTTGTTTCAGGATATTCAGTTCGTCATGATAAGATTCAATGCACTCCCAAATGTCCCTTCACAGATTCCATGAAAGGACTCTTTCCAACCTGCCAAATCAAAAGAGAGGTTTAACTCTGTCAGATGAATCCACACATCACAAAGCAGTTTCACAGAAAACTTCTTTCTAGTTTTTATTGGGGTATATTCACTTTGTCCACAAAGGCCCCAATGAGCTCCAAAATGTCACTGCAGATTGTACAAAAACAGTGTTTCCAAACTGCTGAACCAAAAGAAAGGTTTAACTCTGTGACATGAATCCACACATCAAAAAGCAGTTTCACAGATAGCTTCTTTCTAGTTGTTATCTGGGGATATTCACTTTTTCATGTAGGCCTCAATGAGCTCACAAACTTCCCTTCACAGATTCTGCAAAAGAATTGTTGCCAACCTGCAGAATCAAAAGAAACGTTTAACTCTGTGAGATGAATCCACACATCACAAAGCAGTTTCACAGGTAATTGCTTTGAAGTTTTTATCTGGGGATATTTGCTTTTTCATCATAGGCCTCAATGGGCTCCCAAATATACCTTCACAGAATCTAACAAATCAGTGTTTACTAATTGCAGAATCAAAATAAAGCTTTAACTCTGTGAGATGAAACCATATATCACAAAGCAGTTTCACAGTTAACTTCTTTCTAGTTTTTATCTGGGGATATTCAGTTTGTCACCATAGGCCTCAATGCACTCCAAAATGTCCTTTTGCAGATGCTAAAAGAGGACTGTTTCCAACCTGCTGAATGAAAAAGAACGTTTAGTTCTGTAAGAAGAATCCACACATTGCAAAGCGGTTTCACAGAGAGCTTCTCTCTAGTTTTTATCTTTGGATACTTGCTTTTTCACCATAGCCCAAAAAGAGCTCCCAAATGTTTCCTCACAGATTCTACAACAAAAGTGTTTTGAAACTACTTAACCAAGAGGAAGTTTTAACTCTCTGAGATGAATCCACACGTCATAAAGCAGGTTAGCTTGTGGCTTATTTCTAGTTTTTATCTGGGGATATTGGCTTTTTCTGTATAGGCCTCAATGCGCTCACTAATGTCAATTTGCAGATTCTACAAAAAAAGTGTTTGCAAACTACTGAATCAACAGAAAAGCTTAACTCTGTGAGATGAATCCACACATCACAAAGCAGTTTCACAGATAGCTTCTTTTTAGTTTTTATCTTGCGATACTGGTTTTTTCACCATAAGCCTCAATGAGCCCCCAAATATCTCTTTGCAGATTCTACTCAAACAGTGTTTAAAAACTGCTGAATCAAAAAAATGGTTTATCTCTCTGAATTGAATCCACACATCACAAAGGGGTTTCACAGATATCTTCTTTCTAGTTTTTATATGGGGATATTTAGTTTGTCACCATAGGCCTCAGTGAGCTCCCAAATACCCCTTTGCAGATTCTACAAGAACAGTGTTTCCAAATTGCTGTATCAAAAGAAAGGTTTAACTCTGAGAGATGAATCCACACATCACAAAGCAGTTTCACAGATAACTTCTTTCTACTTTTTATTTGGAGTTATTCAGTTTATCACTGTAGCCCTCAATGTACTCCCTAATGTCCTTTTGCAGATACTAAAAAAGGAGTGTTTCCAACCTGCTGAATTAAAAGAAAGGTTCAAATCTGTGAGAAGAATCCACACATCTCTAAACAGTTTCACAGCTAACTTCTTTCTAGTTTTTATTTGGGGATATTCTCTTTTTCACCTTAGGCCTCAACAAGTTGCCAAATGTCTTTTCATGGATTCTAGAAAAGCAATGTTTCCAAACTGCTGATTCAGAAGAAAGGTTTACTTCTGTGAGATGAATCCACACGTCATGGAATAGTTTCACAGATGGCTTCTTTCTACTTTTCATCTTCAGATATTCAGTTTGTCACCATAGGCATCAATGCACTACCAAATGTCCCTTTGTGGATTCTACAAAAGGACTGATCCCAACCTGCTGGATCAATAGAAAGGTTTACCTCTGTGAAATGAATCCACACATCACAAAGCAGTATGGGAGATTCTACAAAAGGGCTATTTCCATTCTGCTAAATCAAAAGAAAGGTTTAAATCTTTGAGACGAATCCACACATCACAAAGCAGCTTCACAGATAGCTTCTTTCTACTTTTATCTGGGGATATTCGGTTTGTCACCATAGCCCACAATGCACTCCCAAATGCTTCTTTGCAGATTCTACAAAAGGACTGTTTTTAACCTGCTGAATCAAAAGAAAGTATTAACTCTGTGAGACTAATGCACACACCATAAAACAGTTTCTCAGATGGCTTATTTCTAGTTTTTATCTTCTTCAAATAGAGTATTTCCAAACTGCTGAATCAAAAGAAAGGTTTAACACTATGAAATGCATCCACACATCACAAGGCAGTTTCACACAGAGCTTCCTTCTAGTTTTTATCTGGGGATATTTGCTTTTTCACCCTTGGCCTCAATGAGCTCCAAATTGTCCCTTCACAGATTCTATAACAGCATTGTTTCCAAACCAAGGAATCAAAAGAAAGATTTCTTTCTGTGAGATGAATCCACACACACAAAGCATGTCACAAACAGCTTCTTTCTAGTTTTTATGTGGGGATATATGGTTTGTTACACCAGGCCTCAATGGCTCCGAAATGTCTCTTCTAAGATTCTACAAAAAGTCTGTTTCCAACCTGCTTAATCAAAACAAAGTTTTAACTCTGAGAAGAATCCACACATCACAAAGCAGTTTCACAAAGAAATTCTTTTTATTTTTTATCTGGAGATAATTGCATTTTCAACATAGGCCTAAATGCATCTCAAAATATCCCTACAGATATTTTTCAAAAAGAGTGTTTCCAAACTGCTGCATCAAAACAAAGGTTTAACACTCTGAGTTGAATCCACTCATCAAAAAGTAGTTTCACAGTTAGCATCATTCTAGTTTTTATGTGGGGATATGCAGTTTATCACCACAGGTCAGAATGCACTCCCAATTGTCCTTTCACAGATTCTGCAAAAGGACTGTTTCTATCGTGCTGAATAAAAAAAAAAGTTTATTTCTGTGAGAAGAATGCACATATCACAAAGAAGTTTCACAGATAACTTCTTTCTAGTTTTTACCTGGGGATATTCACAGTTTAACAATAGGCCTCAATGTGCTCCTAAATTTCCCTTCACAGACTCTATACAAACAGTGTGTCCAAACTGCTGAATCAAAAGAAAAGTTTAATTCTGTGAGTTGAATCCAAACATCACACAGCAGTTTCGAGATAGCTTCCTTCCAGTTTTTGTCTGGACATATTTTCTTTTACACCATAGGCCTCAATAAGCTCCCAAATGTCCCTTCGTGGATTCTATGCAAACAGTGTTTTCAAACTGCTAAAGGAAAAGAAAGTTTTAACTCTCTGAGTTGAATTCAAACATGACAAAGCAGTTTCACAGATAGCTTCTTTTTAGTTTTTATCTCGGTATATTCTGTTTGCCACCATAGGCCTCAATGTGCTCCCAAATGTCACATCACAGATTCTACAAAAAGACTATTTTTAACCTGCTGAATCAAAAGAAAGTTTTAACCCTGTGAGAAGAATCCACAGATCACAAAGCAGTTTCACAGATAACTTCTTTCTAGTTTTTATCTGGAGTTATTTGCTTCTTCACTAAAGGCCTCAATGAGCTCCAAAATATCCCTTCACAGTTTCTACAATAACAGTGTTCCAAACTGCTGAATGAAAAGAGAAGTTTAACTTCCTGAGGTAAATCCACACATCACAAAGCAGTTTCACAGACAGCGTCTTTCTAGTTTTTATCTGGGGATATTCACCTTGTCACCAAAGACCACAATGCGCTCCAAAATGTCCCTTTGCAGAGTCCTCAAAAGGACTGTCGTAAACTGCTGAATCAAAAGAAAGGTTTAACTCTGTGAGTTGAATCTACATATCACAAAACAGTTTCATAGCTAGCTTCTTTCTAGTTTTTATCTGGGAATATTCGTTTTGTCACCATAGGCCTCAATTTGCTCCCAAATGTCCCTTCGCAGACCCTACAAAAGAACTGTTTCCAATCTGCTGAATCAAAGAAATGTTCAACTCTGTGAGAAGAATCCACACATCACAAAGCAGTTTCACATATACCTTATTTCCAGTTTTTATCTGGGGACATTTTCTTTTTCACCATATACATCAATGAGCTCCTAAAAGTCCCTTGGCAGATTCTACATAAACAGAGTTTCCAAACTGATGAACAAAAGGCAATTTTAAACACTGTGAGATGAATCCAGACATCACAAACCAGTTTCACAGATAGCTTCTATCTAGTTTTTATCTGGGGATATTCTGTTTGTCATCATAGGCATAAATGCTCTACAAAATGTACCTTCACAGATTCTACAAAGAGACTGGTTCTAACCAACTGAATCAAAAGAAAGGTTTAACTGTGTGAAATGAATCCACACATAACAAATCAGTTTCACAGATAGCTTCTTTCTGGGTTTTATCTGGGGATATTCCCTTCTTCACCATAGGCATCAATGAACTCCCAATTGTCCCTTCACAGATTCTACAAAAGAACTGTTTCCAGTCTGCTGACACACAAAAAAGATTTAATTCTGTGATTGAATCCACACATCACAAAGCAGTTTCATAGAAAATTTCCTTCTAGTTTTTATCTAGGGATATTGGCCTTTTCCCCTTAGACCTCAATTCTCTCTCAAATATCTTTCCATAGATTTCACAAAAACAGTGTTTCCAAACTGCTGAATCAAAAGAGAGTTTTACCTCAGTGAGATGAATCCACACAATGCAAAGCAGTTTCACAAATTGCTTCTTTCTTGTTTTTATCTCTGGTTATTCTGTTTCTCACCATAGGCCAAAATGTGCTCCCAAATGCCCCTTCGCAGATTCTACAAAAGACTTGTTCCCAACCTGCTGAATCAAAAGAAAGGCTTATTGATCTGAGAAGAATCCACACATCACAAAGCAGTTTCACAGATAACTTCTTTCTATATTTTATCTGGGGATATTCACTTTTTCACCATATGCCTGAATGAGCTCCTAAATGTCCCTTCACAGACTCTACAAAAAAAAAAAAGTATTCTCAAACTGATGAATCAAAACACAGGTTTAATTCTGTGAGATGAATCAAAACATCAAAAAGCAGTTTCACTGATAGCTTCTCGGTAGTTGTTATATGGCGACAATCACTTTTTTACCATGGGCCTCAATAAGCTCCCAAATGTTTTTTCTCATATTCTACAAAAACAGTGTTTCCAAACTGCTGAATCAAATGAAAGATTTAACTCTGTGAGATGAATCCATACGTAACAAAGCAGTTTCATAGATAGCTTCTTTTTAGTTTTTAACTAAGGATATTCCCTTTTCCACCATAGGCTTCAATGAGTTCCAAACTGTCCTCTCACGGATCCTACGAAAACAGTATTTCCTAACTGCTGAATCAAAAGAAAGGTTTTCTTCTGTGAGACGAATCCACATATCACAGAACAGTATCACAGATAGCTTCTTTCTAGTTTTTATCTGAGGATATTCTATTTATCAACATAGGCCAGAATGCAGACTCAATTATCCCTTTGTAGATTCTACAAAAACAGTGTTTCCAAACGGCTGAATCAAAAAAAAAATGTTTAACCCTGTGAGATAAATCCACACATCCCAAAGCAGTTTCACAGACAGCTTATTTCTAGTTTTTATCTGGGGATATTTGGTTTTACAACATAGGTGTCAATGAGCTCCCAAATGTCCCTTCGCAGACTCAACCACAACAGTGTTTCAAAACTGCTGAATGAAAA
Organism: Homo sapiens; assembly: GCF_000001405.40. Taxonomy (NCBI): domain Eukaryota; kingdom Metazoa; phylum Chordata; class Mammalia; order Primates; family Hominidae; genus Homo; species Homo sapiens. Next base: position 61,902,139 of record NC_000007.14, on the reverse strand, counting down.
AAAGAGGCTTACTTCTGTGAGATGAATTTACACATCACAAAGCAATTTAACAGATAGCTTCTTTCCAGTTTTATCTGGGGATGTTCTCTTCCACACCACAGGTCTGAATGCACTCTAAATTTCTCTTCCCAGAATCTACAAAAGGACTGTTTCCAACCTGCTGAATCAAAAGAAAGGTTTAACTCTGTGAGATGAATCCATATGTCACAAAGCAGTTTCACAAATAGCTTCTTTCTAGTTTTTATATGGAGATATTTGCTTTTTCACAATAGGCCTCAGTGCACTACCAAATCTCCCTTTGCAGATTCTTGAAAAGGACTGTTTCCAACCTACTGAATCAAAAAAAAGTTTAACTCTGTGAGATAAGTCCAGACATCATAAAGTAGTTTCACTGGTAGCTTCTTTCTAATTTTTATCTGGGGATATTCAGTTTGTCACAATAGACCTCAACACACTTCACAAATGCCCCTTCATAGATTCCCCAATAACACTTTTTCCAAACTGTTGAATCAAAAGAAAGGTTTAACTCTCTGAGATAAATCCACACATCACAAAGCAGCTTCACAGAAACTTCTTTCTAGTTTTTATCTTGGGATATCCAGTTTGTCAGTATAGTCCTCAATGCTCCCCAAAATAACCCTTCACAGATTCTACAAAAGGACTGTTTCCAACATGCTGAATCAAAACGAAGTTTTAACTCTCTGAGATGAATCACACATAACAAAGCAGCTTAACAGATAGCTTCTTTCTAGTTTTCATCTGGGGATATTCATTTTTTCACCATAGGCCTCAATGAGTTCCAAAATGTCCCTCACAGAATCTACAGAAACAGTGTTTACAACATCCTACTCAAAAGAAAGGCTTAACTCTGTGAGATAAATCCACACATGACAAAGTATTTTCGCAGTTAGCTTCTTCCTATTTTTTATCTGGGGATATTGGCTTTTTCACCACAGGCCACTATTCTCTCCGAGATGTCCTTTTGCACATTCTACAAAAATAGTGTTTCCAAACTGGGGATTCAAACTCGAGGTTTAAATGTGTGAGACAAATCCACACATCAAAAAGCAGTTTCACTGATAGCTTCTTTCTGTGTTTATCTGGGGTTATTTGCCTTTTCACCATGGGCATCAATGAGTTCCCAAATGTCCCTTCACAGATCCTACAAAACAGTGTTTCCAAATAGCTGAATCAAAAGAAAGATTTAACTCTGTGAGATGAATACAAACATCACAAAGCAGTTTCACAGAGAGCTTCTGTCTAGTTTTTAACTGTGAATATTACCTTCTTTACCATAGGCCTCATGAGCTCCCAAATGTCCCTTCACAGATTCTGCAAAAAAAAGAAATGTTTCCAAAGTGCAGAACAGAAAAGTTTACCTCTGTGAGATGAATCCACACATCAGAAAGCAGTTTCACAGGTAGCTTCTTTTTAGTTTTTATCTGGGGATATTCGGTTTTTTCACCATAGTCCTCAAGGCACTCCCAAATATCCATTCACAGATTCAACAGAAAGTGTTTCCAATGTGCTGAATCAAAAGAAAGATTTAACTCTTTGAGATGAATCCATACATCACAAAGCGGATTCACAGATAGCTTCATTCTACTTTTTATCTGGGGATATTCACTTTTTCACCGTTGGTCTCAGTGAGTTCCAAAATATCCATTCACAGATTCTACAAAAACAGTGTTTACAAGCTGCTGAATATAATGAAAAGCTTAACTCTCTGAGATGAATCCACACAACACAAAGCAATTTAACCAATAGCTTCATTTTAGTTTTTATCTGGGTTTATTCCCTTTTTAACCACAGGACTCAATTCACTCCCAATGTCCTTTTGCAGATTTTACAAAAACAGTTTTTCCAAACTGCTGAATCAAAAGAAAGGTTTAATTCTATGAGATAAGTTGACACATCACAAAGCAGTTTAACAGACAGATTTTTTTTTTAGTTTTTATCTGGAGATATTCAGTATTTCACTTTTGGCCTCAAAGAGATTTCAAATATCCCTCTGCAGATACTACAAAAACAGTGTTTCCAAACTGCTGAATCAAAACAAAGGTTTGACAATGTGAGATGAATCCACACAACACAATGCAGCCTCACAGGTGTCTTCTTTCTAGTTTTTATGTGGGGATATTCTCTTTTTCACCATAGGTTTCAATGAGGTCCCAAATATCCATTTGCAGATTCTACAAAAATAGTTTTTCCAAGGTGCTGAATCAAAGGAAAGTCTTAACTGTCTGTGATGAATCCCTACATCACAAAGCAGTTTTGCAGATAGCTTCTTTGTAGTTTTTATCTGGAGATGTTTGCATTTTCATCATAGGACTCAATTCCCTCTCAAATGTCCTTTCATAGATTCTACAAAAACAGTGTTTCCAAACTGCTGAATCAAAACAAAGTTTTCCCTCTGTGAGATGAATGTGCATATAACAAAGCAGTTCACAGATAGCTTCTTTCTAGTTTTTATCTTGTGATTTTCTCTTTGTCACCATTGGCCTCAATGAGCTCCCAAATATCCCTTCGTAGATTCTACAAAAACAGTGTTTCCAAACTGCTGAATCAAAAGAAAGGGTTAACTCTGCCAGATGAATTTACACACACAAAATACTTTTCCACATATCTTCTTTCTAGTTTTTATTGGGGATATTCTCTTCATTACCATAGGCCTCAATGACCTCCCAAAAGTCCCTTTGAAGATTCTAAAGAAATAGTGTTTCCAACGTGCTGAATCAAAAGAAAGGATTAACTCTGAGAGATAAATGCACACATCACAAAGCAGTTTCACAGATAGCTTCTTTCTAGTTTTTATCATTGGATATTTGCCTTTTCCCATTAGGCCTCAATGACTTCCCAAATTTCCCTTCACAGATTCTACAAAAACGGTTTTCCAAACTGTTGAATCAAAAGAAAAATTTAAATCTGTGATATGAATGCACCATTCACAAAGCAGTTTCACAGACAGCTTCTTTGTAGTTTTTATTTGAGGATATTTGCCCTTTCACCATAGGACTCAAAGGCTTCCCTAATGTCCCTTCAAAGGATCTACAAAACAGTGGTACAAACAGCTGAATGAATAGAAATGTTTATCTCTCTGAGTTGAATGCACACATCACAAAACAGTTTCTTAGATAGATTCTTTCTGGTTTTTATATGGGGACATTTCCTTTTTTACCACAGGCCTCAATGTACTCCCAAAAGTCCCTTTGATGCTGCTACAAAAACAGTGTTTCCGAACTGCTAAATCAAAAGAAATTTTTAAGTCTGTGAGATGAATCCACACATCCCAAGGCAGATTAACAAAAAGCTTCTTTGTAGTTTTTATCTAGGGTTATTTATTTTTCACTATATGCATCAATGAGCACTTTGCAGATTCTACAAAAGCATTGTTTCCAAACTGCTAAATCAAAGGAAAGGCTTAACTCTGTTAGATGAATCCACACAGCAACAGCAGTTTCACAGACAACTTCTTTCTAGTTTTTATCTGAGGATATTCACTTTTTCACCATGTGCTTCAAGCTCTCCCAAATGTGCCTTCCCAGATTCTACAAAAAAAAATTTCCAAACTGCAGGATCAAAAGAAAAGTTTCATTATGTAATTTGAATGCACACATCACAAAACAGTTGCTCAGATAGCTTCTTTCTAGTTTTTATGTGGAGATATTCGCTTTTTCACTATATCCGTCAATGCGCTCCCAAATGTCCTTTTGTAGATTCTACAAAAACAGTGTTTCAAAACTGCTGATTGAAAATCAAGGTTTAACTCTGTTAGATGAATACACACATCACAAAGCAGTTCCTCAGATAGCTTCTTTCTAGAATATACACTTCTCTGCCAGGGCCTCAATTAGCTCTGAAATGTTCCTTTGCAGATTCTACTAAAACAGTGTTTCCAAACTGCTGAATGGAAAGAAAGGTTTAACTCTGTGAGATGAATCCACACATCCCAAAAAAGTTTAACAGATAGCTCTTTTTTTTTTTTAGTTTCTTTCTGGGTATATTCACTTTTTTACCACAGGTCTCAAATCACTCCCAAATATCCCTTCGCAGATTCTAAAAAAACAGTTTCCAAACTGCTGAATCCAAAGAAAGGTTTATCTCTGTGCGATGCTTCCACACATCACAAAACAATTTAAGAAGTAGCTTATTTCTAGGTTTTATCTGGGTATATTTGCCTCTTTACCATAGGCCTCAATGCCTTCCCAAATGACCTTTCGGAGATTCTACAAAAACAGTGTTTCCAAACTGCTAATACAAAATAAATTTTTAACTCTCTTAGATGAATCCAGACATCAAAAAGTAGGTTCACAGCAAGCTGCTTTCTAGTTTTTATCTGGAGATATTCACTTTTTCACCATAGGCATCAATGGGCTCCCAAATGTCCGCTTGTGGATTCTACAGAAACAGTGTTTCAAAACTGCTGAATTGAAACAAGTCTTTAACTCTGTGAGACGAATCTACACATCACAAAGCAGTTTCACATGCAGCTTCTTTCAAGATTTATCCTCGAATATTTTCTTTTTTATTGTAGGCCTCAACGTGTTTGCAAGGTCCCTTTGTAGATTCTACAAAAACAGTGTTTCCAAACTGCTGAATGAAAAGGAAGTCTTAACTCGGTCAGCTGAATCCAAACATGACAAAGCAGTTTTGCAGATATCTTCTTTTTTGTTTTTATATGCGGATAGTCGCTCTTTCATGGCTGGCTTCAATGCACTCCCAAATATCCCTTTGCAGATTCTACAGAAACAGTGTTTCCAACATGCTGAATCCAAAGAAAAGATTAACTCTGGAAGATAAATCCACACATCACAAATAACTTTCGCATATAGCTTCTTTCTAGTTTTTATCAGTGAATATTTGCTTTTCCAACATTATTCTCAATGAGCTCCCAAGTGTCCCTTGGCAGATTCTACAAAAACGTGGTTTCCAAACTACTGAATCAGAAGATAGGTCTAAAACTTTGAGATGAATCCACACATCACAAATCAATTTCAAAGATAACTTCTTTCTAGTTTTTATCTGGGGATATATGTTTTTTCACCATAGGTCTAAAAGTGCTCCCAAATGTTCCTTCACAGATTCTAAAAAAAAGTGTTTCCTAAATGTTGAATCAAAAGAAAGGGTAAGTCTGTGAGTTGAGTGCACACATCACAAAGCAATTTCTCACATAGCTTCTTTCTAACTTTTATCTGGGGATATTCGCTTTTTCACCATAGGACTCAACGTGCTCCCAAATGTTCTTTCACAGAAACTACAAAAACAATGTTTCCAAACTGCTGAACCAGAAGAAAGGTTTAACTCTGTGAGATGATTCCACATATCACAAAGCAGTTTGACAGATAATATCTTTCTAGTTTTTATCTGGGTATATATTTTTATCACCAAAGGCCTCAATGAGCTCAAAAATATCTTTTCACAAATTCTACAAAAACAGTGTGTCCAAACTGCTGAATCAAAAGGATGGTTTAACTCTATGAGATGAATGCACACATCAAAAAGCAGTATCTCAGATAGCCTCCCTTCAGTTTATATCTGAATATATTTGCTTTTTCAACAAAGACCTCAATGCACTCCCAAATGTCCTTTCACAGGTCCTACAAAAACAGTGTTTCCAAACAACTGAATCAAAAGCAAGGTTTAACTTTCTTAGATGGATGCACACATCACAGAGGAGTTTCTCAGACACATTTTTTCTAGTTTGTAACTGGGGATATTCTCCTGTTCACCACAGGTCTCAGTCAGTTCCAAATGTCACTTCAGAGATTCTACAAAAACAGTGTTTCCAACATGCTGAATCAAAAGAAGGATTTAACTCTGTGAGAGGAATCCACACATCAAAAAACAGTATCTCAGATAGCTTCTTTCAGGTTTATATCCAAATATATTTCCTTTTTCAAAAAAGGCCTCAATGCTCTCCCAAAAGTCCGCTCACAGGTTCTATAAAAACAGTGTTTCCAAACTCCTCAATCAAAAGGAATGTTTAACTCTGTGAGTTGAATGCACACTTCACAAAGAAGTTCATCAGATAGCTTCATTCTAGTTTTAATCTGGGAATATTTGCTTTTTCATCATGGGACTCAAGGAGCTCTCAAATGTCCCTTTGCAGACTCTACAAAAACAGTATTTTCAAACTGATGAATCAAAACAAAAATTTAAAACTCTGAGATGAATCCACACATCATAAAGCAGTTTCACCAATAGCTTCTTCCCAGTTTTCATATAAAGATATAGATTTTTCACCTTAGACCTCAATGCACTCCCAAATATCCTTTCATAGAATCTACAAAAAAAGTTTTTCCAAAATGATGAATGAAAAGAAGGATTTAACTCTTTGAGATGAATCCACACATCACAAATCAGTTCCTCAGATAGATTCTTTCAAGTTTCTTATAGGTATATTCCCTTTTTCACCATAGGCCTCAATGCAGTCCCAAATGTCCATTGCCAGATACTACAAAAGCAGTGTTTCCAAACTGCTGAATCAAAAGAAAGGATTAGCTCTGTGAGATGTATGCACACATCACAAAATGGTTTCTCAGATATCTTCCTAACAGTTTTTATTTTGGGATATTCACTTTTTTACCATTGGCCTCAATGAGCTCCCAAAAGTCCATTCACAGGTTTTACACAAACAGTGTTTCCAAACTGCTGAATTAAAGTAATTGTTTAAATCTGTGAGATGAATGCACACATCATAAATCAGTTTCTCAGAAAGCTTCTTTAAACTTTTAATCTGAAGATATTCTTTTTCACCATAGACCTCATTACAATTCCAAATCTCATTTCACAGATTCTAAAAAAACAGTATATCCAAACTGTTGAATCAAAAGAAAAGTTTAACTCTGAGAGGTGAATGCACACTTCACAAAGCAGTTCCTCAGAAAGATTCTTTCTAAACAGTGTTTCCAAATTGCTGACACAAAAGAAAGGTTTATAACTGTGAGATGAATGAACACATCAAAGAGCAGATTCTCAGATAGCTTCCAACGAGTTTTTGTCTTTGGACATTCACTTTTTCACAATTGGCCTCAATGAGCTCTGAACTGTCCACTCACTGAAAGTACAAAAACAGTGTTTCCAAACTCCTGAATCAAAGGAAATGTTTAACTCTGTGACATGAATGCACACATCATAAATCAGTTTCTCAGAAAGTCAGAAAGCTTCTTTCTAGTTTTTATCTGAAGATATTTTATTTTTCTCTAAAGGCACCAATGTGCTCTGAAATGTCCTTTCACAGATTCTACAAAAACAGTGTTTCCAAACTCCTCAATCAAAATAAATGTTTAACTCTGTGCGTTGAATGCACACTTCACAAAGCATTTCATCAGATAGATTCATTCTAGTTTTAATCTGGGAATATTCACTTTTTCATCATGGGACTCAAGGAGCTGTCAAATGTCCCTCTGCAGATTCTGCAAAAACAGTGTTTCCAAGCTGATTAATCAAAACAAAAATTTAAATCTGTGAGATGAATCCACACATCGCAAAGCAGTTTCACCAATAGCTTCTTTCCAGTTTTTATTTAAAAATAATCGCTTTTTCACCATAGACTTCAATGCACTCCTAAATGTCCTTTCACAGGCTCTACAAAAAAAGTTTTTCCTAACTGTTGAATCAAAAAAAGCTTTTACCTGTTTGAGATGAATCCATACACCACAAATCAGTTCCTCAGATAGATTCTTTCAAGTTTCTTATAGGGATATTCCCTTTTTCACCACAGGGCTCAATGTGGTCCCAAATGCCCATTCTCAGATTCTACAAAAACAGTGTTTCCAAACTGCTGAATCAAAAGAAAGGTTTAACTCTGTGAGATGAATAGACACATCACAAAGAGGTTCTTCAGAAATCTTCCTTATAGTTTTTATCTGATGATATTTTCTTTTTCACTACAGATCTCAACATGATCCCAAATTCCTGTCAAACATAGTAGAAAAACAGTGCTTACAAACAGCCGAATCAAAAAAATGCTTTAATTCTGTGAGATGAATGCACACAACTCAAAGCAGTTTCTCAGAAAGCTTCCTTCTAGTTTTTATCTGAAAATAATTTATTTTTCAACATAGGTGAAAAGCACTCCCAAATGACTTTTACATATTTTACAAAAATAATGTTTCCAAACTGCTGAATCAAAAGAAAGGATTAACTCTGTGAGATGAATGCACATATCACAGAGTGGTTTCTCAGATACCTTCCTACCCATTTTTATTTTGGCATATTCGCTTTTTCACCATTGGCCTCAATGAGCTACCAAATGTCAATTCACAGATTTTACAAAAACTGTTTCCAAACTGCTGAATTAAAATAATGGTTTAACTCTATGATATGAATGCTCACATCATAAATCAATTTCTCCGAAACTTCTTTAAACTTTTAATCTGAAGATATTTTCTTTGTCACCATAGACCTCATTATGATCCCAAATGTCATTTCGCAGATTCCAAAAACACTGTTTCCACATGGCTGAATCAAAAGGAAGGTTTAACTCTGTGAGATGAATGCAAACTTCCCAAAACAATTTCTCAGAAAGATTCTTTCTAATCAGTGTTTCCAAACTCCTGAAACAAAAGAAAATTTTCTCTGTGAGATGAATGAACACATCACAGAGCAGTTTCTCAGATAGCTTCCCTCGAATTTTTATCTTGGGACACTTGCTTTTTCACAATTGGCCTCAATTAACTCCGAAATGTCCACTCGCAGAATGCACAAAAACAGTGTTTCCAAACTCCTGAATTAAAAGAAATGTTTAACTCTGTGACATGAATGCACACATCATAAAGCAGTTTGTCAGAAAGCTTCTTTCCAGTTCTTACCTGAGGATATTTTATTTTTCTCCAAAGTCATCAATGCATTCCCAAATGTCCTTTCACAGATTCTTCAAAAGCAGGGTTTGCAAACTGCTGAATCAAAAGAAAGGTTTAACTCTGTGAGATGAATGCAAACATCACAAAGCTGTATCTCTGATAGCTTTCTACTACTTTTTATCCTGGGATATTCACTTTTTCAACATTGGCCTCAATGAGGTCCCAAATGTCCACTCACAGAATGGACAGACACAGTGTTTCCAAACTGCTCCATCAAAAGAAAGGCTTAACTCTGTGAGATGAATAAAGACTTCACAAAGTAGTTACTAAGAGAACTTCTTTCTAATTTTATTATGAAGATATTTCCTTTCTCAACTCATGCTTCAATGCACTCCCAAGCATCCCTTCACAAATTCTACGAAGACAGTGTTTCCAAACAGCTGATTCAAAGAAACGTTTATCTCTGCGAGATTAATGCACACATCTCAAAGCAGTTTCTCAGAATCCTTTCTAGTTTTTATCTGAAGTTATTTTCTTTTTCACCATAGGCTTCAAAACGCTCCAAAATATCCCTTGGCAGATTCTACAAAAACAGTTTTTCCAAACAGCTAAATAAAAAGAAAGGTTTAATTTTGCAAGATGAATGCACACATCACAAACCAGTTTCTCACATAGTTTCATTCTATTTTTAATCCTGGGATATTCACTTTTTCCCCACTGGCCTCAGTGAGCTCCCAAATGTCCGTTCTCAGAATGGACAAATATGGTGTTTCCAACTGCTGAATAAAAAGAAATGTTTAACTCTGTGAGATGAATGCACACATCACAAAGCAGTTTCTCAGAAAGCCTCTTTCAATTTTTCATCTGAGCATATTTTCTTCTTCACCATAGGCCTCAATGCACTCCCAAATATGCCTTTGCAGATACTACAAAAACAGTGTTTCCAAACCGCTGAATAAAAAGAAATCTGTAACTCTGTGAGATGAATGCACACATCACAAAGTGGTTTCTCAGATAGTTTCCTTCTAGTTTAAATCATGGGATTTTCACTTTTTTGCCACTGCCCTGAATGAGTCCCCAAATATACCTTTGGAGATTCTACACAAACAGTGTTTCCAAACTGCTGAATGAACAGAATGTTTTAACTCTGTGAGATGAATTCACACATCACAAAGCAATTTCTCAGACAGCTTCCTTCTAGTTTTTATCCTGGGATATTTGCTTTTTTGTTTTTGGCCTCAATGAGCTCCCAAATGTCCATTCGCAGAATGGACAAAAACAGTGTTTCCAAACTGCTGAATCAGAAGAAAGGTAAAACTCTGTGAGATGAATGCACAATCACAAAGAAGTTTCTTAGAAAGCTTCTTTCTAGTTTTTATCTGAAGATATTTTCTTTTTCACCATAAGCCTCAATGTGCTCCCAAATATCCCTTCACAGATTCTACAAAAACAGTGTTTCCACACTGATGAATAAAAAGAAAGTTTTAAATATGTGAGTTAAATGCACACATCACCAAGAAGTTTCTCAGAAAACTTCTTTCTACTTTTTATCAGAAGATATTTTCCTTTTCACCACAGGCCTCAATGTGCTCCCAAATATCCCTTTGCAGATCCTTCAAAAACAGTGTTTCCAAACTGCTGAATGAAAAGAAAGGTTTAACCCTAGGAGATGAATGCACACATCACAAACTTTTTCTCAAATTTCTTCCTTCTAGTTTTTATCCTGGGATAATTGCTTTTTCACCTTTGGTTTCAATGATCTCCCTGAGCTCATTGAGACATTTGGGAGCTCACTGAATTTTTCTGAGAAACTGCTTTGTGATGCGTGCATTCATCTCTCAGAGTTCAAGCTCTCTTTTGATTCAGCAATTTGGAAACACTCTTTTTGTCTATTCTGCTAATGGACATTTTGGACCTCATTGAGGCCAATGGCAAACAAGTGAATATCCCAGCTTAAAAACAAGAAAGAGACTATCTGGCAAACTGCTTTGTGATGTGCACATTCATTTTCCAGAGATAAACATTTCTTTCAATTCAGCAGTTTTTAAACACTGTTTTTTTTTGTTCTGTGAATGGACATTTGGGATCACTTTGAGGCCTATGGTGAAAAAGAAAATATCTTCAGATAAAAACTAGAAGGAATCTTGCTGAGAAACTGCTTTGTGATGTTTGCATTCATTGCATGGAGTTAAACCTTTCTTTTGGCTCAGCAGATTGGAAACACTGTTTTTGTTCATTCTGTGAATCAACATTTAGGAGCTCATTGAGGCCAATGGCAAAAAAGGGAATATGCCCCTATAAAAACTAGAAGGAAGCTATCTGAGACACTGCTTTGTGATGTGGGCATTCATCTCCCAGAGTTAAAACTTTCTTTTGATTAAGCAGTTTAGTAACACTCTTCTGGTGCATTCTGTGAGTTGGGAGCACATTGTTGCCAATGGTGAAAAAGAAAATGTCTTCAAATTAAAACAAGAAAGAAGCTTTCTGAGAACATGCTTTGTGAATTGTCCATTCATCTCATAGGGATAAACCTTTCTTTTGATTCAGCATTTTGGAAACCTTGTTTTTGTCTATTTTGTGAATGCACATTTTGGAGCTCATTGAGACCAATGACATAAAAGTGAATATCCGAGGTAAAAACTAGAAGGAAGGTATCTGAGAAGCAGCTTTGTGATGTGTGCATTTCATTTCCCAGAGTTACACCTTTCTTTTTCATTCAGCAGTTTGGAAACAATGTTTTTGTATATTCTTGAAATGGACAATTGAGAGTGCAATGAGGCCTGAGGTGACAAGGAAAATACCTTCTGAAAAAAAGTATATAGAAGGTTTTTGAGAAACTTCTTTGTGATGGGTGCATTCATCTTGCAGAGGTAAAACTTTTCTTCATTCAGCAGTTTGGAAACACCGTTTTTGAAGAATCTATGAAGGGATATATGGGAGCACATTGAGGCTTATGGTGAAAAAGAAAACATCTTCAGATAAAAATGAGAAAGAAGCTTTCTGAGAGATACCTTTGTGATGTGTGCATTCATCTCACAAAGTTAAACCTTTCTTTTCATTCAGCAGTTTGGAATCGCTGCTTTTGTAGAATCTGCAAAGGGATATTTGGGAGCACATTGAGGCCTATGGCAAAAAAAGTGAATACCCAGGGATATAAACTGGAAGGAAGCTATCTGAGAAACTGCTTTGTGACGTGTGCATTCATCTCACAGACTTAAACTGTTCCTTTGATTCAGCCATTTGGAAACTCTGTTTTTGTAGAATCTGTGAAGGGACATTTTGGAAAGCTTTGAAGCCTATGGTGAAAAAGAGAATATCTTTATCTAAAAACTAGAAAGAAGCTTTCTGAGGAACTACATTGTGATGTGTGCATTCATCTCAGAGAGTTAATCCTTTCTTTTGATTCATCAGTATGGAGACATTGTTTTTGTCCATTCTATGAAAGGACATTTGGGGCCTCATTGAGGCCAGTGGTGAAAAAGGGAATATCCAGGACAAAAACTAGAAAGAAGCTATCTGACAAACTGCATTATTATGTGTGCATTCATAACAGAGTCAAAACTTTCCTTTGAGTAGGCCCTTTGGAAACATCGTTTTTGTACATTCTGCAAATGGATATTTGGGAGTGCATTAAGGCCAATGGTGAAAAAGGGAATATACCAGGATAAAAACTAGAAGGAAGCTATCTGAGAAACCGCTTTACAATGTGTGCATTCAAGTCACTGAGTTAAACATTTGTTTTCATTCAGCAGTTTGGAAGCACTGTTTTTCTATAATTGCTGAAGGGACATTTGGGAGCGTATTGTGGCCTGGGGTGAAAAAGAAAATATCTTCAGATAAAAACTAGAAAGAAGCTTTCTGAGAAACTGCTTTGTGATGTCTGCATTCATCTCACAGAGTTAAACCTTCCTTTTAATTCAGCAGTTTGGAAACACAGTTTTTTTCCATTCTGCAAATGGATATTTCAGAGCTCATTGAGGACAATGGCAAAAAAGCGAATATACCAGGAGGAAAACTATAATGATGCTATCTGAGAAGCCACTTTGTCATGTGTGCTTTCATCTGACAGACTTAAACCTTTCTTTGGATTCACCAGTTTTGAAACAAGTTTTTGTCCATTCTGTGAATGGGCATTTTGGAGCTCTTTGAGGCCAATGGTGAAAAAGAAAATAACTTCAGATAAAAACGAGAAAGAAGCTTTCTGAGAAACTGCTTTCTTATGTGTGCATTATTCTCACAGAATTAAACCTTTCCTTTGATTCAGCAGTTTTGAAACACTGTTTTTGTCCATTTGGTGAATGGACATTTGGGAGCCAATTGAAGCCAATGGCAAAAAAGTGAATATCCCAGGATAAAAACTGGAAGGAAGCTATCTGAGAAAACATTTTATGATGTGTGCATTCATCTCACAGAGTTAAAACTTTATTTTCATTCAGCAGTTTGGAAAAGCTCTTTTTCTAGAATCTGCCAATGGGTATTTGGGAGTACACCAAGGTCTATGGTGAAAAAGAAAATAGCTTCAGACAAAAACTAGAAAGAATCTTTCTGAGAAACTGACTTGTGATGTCTTCATTCATCTCACAGAGTTAAACCTTCCTTTTGATTCAGCAGTTTGGAAACACCTTTTTTGTCCATTCTGCAAATGGATATTGGGGAGATCATTGAGGTCAATGGTGAAAAAGAGAATATCCAAGTATAAAACTAGAAAGAAGCTATCTGAGAAACCGTTTGGTGATGTGTGCATTCATCTCACAGAGTTAAACTTTTCCTTTGATTCAACAATTTTGAAAAACTGTTTTTGTCCATTCTGTGAGTGAATATTTGGGAGCTCATTGAGGCCAAAGGCAAAACAGTGAATGTCCCTAAATAAAAATTAGAAGGAAGCTGTCTGAAAAACACGATTGTGATGTTTGCATTCATCTCACAGATTTAAACTTTTGCTTTGATTCAGTATTTTTGAAACACTGTTTTTGTCTATTCTGTGAATGGACATTTGGGAGCTTATTAAGGCCAATGGCAAAAAAGTGAATATCCCAATGTATAAACTAGAAGGAAGCTGTCTGAGAAACTGCTTTCTGATGTGCACATGCATCCTGCCAAGTTAAACCTTTCTTTGATTCAGCAGTTAGGAAACACTGCTTTTGTCCTTTCTGTGAATGGACATTTGTGTGCTCATTAGGCCAATGGTGAAAAAGCTAATATCCCAGGATACAACTAGAAGGAAGCTAGCTGAGAAACTGCTTTATGATGTGTGCATGCATCTCACACAGTTAAATGTTGCATTTCATTCAGCAGTTTGGAAATACTGTTTTTGTAGAATCTGCAAAGGGATACTTGGGAGTGCTTTGAGAACTATGGTGAAAAAGAATATATGTTCAGAAAAAAGAAGGAAGAATATTTCTGAGAAATTGCTTTGTAATTTGTGCATTCAACTCCTATAGCTAACCTTTCTTTTGATTCAGCAGTTTGGAAACACTGTTTTTGTTGTTTCATTGAATGGATATTTGAGAGCGCATGAAGGAAAGTGGTGAAAAAGAGAATATCCAAGGACAAAAACTAGAAAGAAGCTATCTGAGAAACTGCTTTGTGATGTGAGCATTTATCTTGCAGAGTTAAAAGTTTCTTTTCATTGAGCAGTTTGGAAAAACTTTTTGTAGAATCTGCAAAGGGATATTTGGGAGCACATTGAGGCCTATGGTGAATAAGAAATTATCTTCAGATAAAAACTAGAAAGAAGCTTCGTGGTAAACTTCTTTGTGATGTGTGCATTCATCTCACTGACCTAAGCATTCCTTTTCATTAGGCAGTTTGGAAAAACTGTTTTTGCAGAATCTGCAAAGTGGTATTTGGGAGCTCATTTAGGCCTATGGTGAAAAATAAAATGTCTTCACATAAAAAGTGGAAAGAAGTTTTCTGAGAAACTTATCTGTGATTTGCCCATTAATCTCACATAGTTAAACCTTTATTTTTATTCAGCAGCTTGGGAAACTATTATTGTCCATTCTGTGAATGGACATTTGGGAGCTTATTGAGGCCAATGGCAAAAAAGAGAATATCCCAGTATAAAAACTAGAAGGATACTATCTGAAAAACTGCTTTGTGACATATGCATTCGTCCCACAGAGACAAAACTTTCTTATCATCCAGCAGTTTGGAAACATTGTTTTTTAAGAATCTGTTAAGAGATATTTGGGAGTGCATTGAGGCCTACGCTGAAAAATAAAATAGTTTCAGAGAAAAACTAGAAAGAAGCTTTCAGAGAAAGTGATTTGTGATGTGTGCATTTGTCTCACAGGGATAAACCTTTCTTTTGATTCAGCAGTTTTGAAAACCTGTTTTTGTCCTTTCTGTGAGTGGACATTTTGGAGCTCTTTGAGGCCAAGGGCGAAAATGTGAAAGTCCCAGGATAAAAACTAGAATGAAGCTATGTGAGAAACTGCTTTGTGATGTGTGCATTCAACACAGAATTATACCTTCTTTTTATTCAGCAGTTAAGAACCACTGTTTTTGTAGAATCTGTGAAGGGATACTCGGGAGTGCATTGAGTCTTATGGTGAAAAAGGAATCATCTTCAGATACAAAGTAGAAAGAAACTTTCTCTGAAACTGCTTTGTGATGTGTGCATTCATCTCACAGAGTTAAAACTTTCTTTTGATTCAGCAGTTTGGAAACACTGTTTTTGTTTATTCTGTGAATGGACATTTGGAAGTTCATTGAGGCCAATGGTGAAAAGGCAAACATCCTGGGATAAAAGCTAGAAGGAATCTATCCAAGAAACCACTTGCAATGTGTGCATTCATCTCACAAATTTAAACCTTACTTTTGATTCAGCAGTTTGGAAACAGTGTTTTTATCCATTCTGCAAATGGCCATTTAGGAGCTCCCTGAGGCCAATGGAGAAAAAGGAATATCCCAGGATAAAAATAAAAAGAAAGCTATCTCAGAAACCCCTTTGTGATGTGTGCATTCATCTCAGAGAATTAAACCTTTCTTTTCATTCAACAGCTTGGAAACACTGCTTTTGTATAATCTGTGAAGGACTGTTTGGGTGCACATTGAGGCTTATTGTGAAGAACAAAACATCTTCAGATAAAAACTAGAAAGAATATTTCAGATAAACTCCTTTGTGATGTGCGCATTCATCTCACAGAGCTAAACGTTTCCTTTCATTCAGCAGCTTGGAAACACTGTTTTTGTAGAATCTGTGAAGAGATATTTGGGAGCACTTTTAGACCTATGATGAAAAAGAAAATACCTTCAGATAAAAACTAGAAAGAAGCTTTCTGAGAAACTGTTTTATGATTTGTGATTTATCTCACAGATGTAAACATTTGTTTTAATTCAGCAGTTTGGAAACACTGTATCTCACAGAGATAAATTTCCATTCTGCAAGTGGACATTTTGGAGAACATTGATGCCAATGGTGAAACAGGAATATCTCAATATAAAAACTAGAAGGAAACTATTTGAGAAACCACTTTGTGTGTGTGGATTCTTCTCACAGATTTCAACCTTTCTTTTTATTCAGCAGTTTGCAAACACTGTTTTTCTCCATTCTGGGGAAGGACATTTGAGAGCTCATTGGGGTCAATGGCAAAATAGCAAATATTCCAGGATAAAAACTGGAAGGAAGTTAGCTGACAAACCAATTCATGTTGTGTGCATTCATCTTGGAGTGTTAAGCCATTCTTTTCATTTAGCATTTTGGAAACACTCTGTTTGTAGAATCTACAAATGGATATTTGGGAGCGCCTCAATGCCTATGGTGAAAAAGAAAATATCTTCAGATAAAAACTAGAGTGAAGCTTTCTGACAAACTGTTTTGTGATTTGTGCATTCATCCCGCAGTCTTAAAACGTTCTTTTGATTCGGTAGTTTGAAAAACTGTTTTTGTCCACTCTGCAAATGGATATTTTGGTGCCATTGAGGCCAATGGTGAAAAAGTGAATATCCCAGGATAAAAACTAGAAGGAAGCTATCAGAGAAACCCCTTTGTGATGTGTGCATTTATTTCACAGAGATACACTTTTCTTTTCATGCAGCTGTTTAGAAACACTGTTTTTGTAGAATCTAAGAAAGTACATTTGGGGGTGCAGTGAGGCCTATGGTGAAAAAGAAAATATCTTCAGATAACATCTAGAAAGAAGTTTTGGTGAAACTACTTTGTGCTGTCTACATTCATCTCATAGAGTTAAACGTTTCTTTTGTTTCAGTGGTTTGGAAACACTGTTTTTGTCCGTTCTACGTATGGACATTTGGAAGCTCATTAAAGTCAATTGTGAAAAAACTAATATCTCAGGATAAAAACTACACTGAAGCTATCTGAGAAATGGCTTTGTGAAGTGTGCATTCATCTCACAGAGGTAAACATTTCTTTTCATTCAGCAGTTTGTAAACACTGTTTATGTAGAATCTGAAAAGGCATATTTGGGAGTGCACTGAGGCCCATGGTGAAAAACAAAATATCATCAAATAAAAACTAGAAAGATGGTTTTTGAAAAACTGCTTTGTGATGGATTCATTCATCTCACAGGGTTGAACGTTTCTTTGATTAAGTAGTTTGGAAAAACTGTTTGTCTCCATTCAGAAAATGGACATTTGGGAGCTGATTAAGGAAAATGGCAAAAAAGTGAATAACCCAGGATAAAAACTAGAAAGAAGCTGTCTGAGAAACTGGTTTGTGATGTGTGCATTCATCTCGCAGATTTAAAATTTTCTTTGCATTCAGCAGTTTGGAAACACTGTTTTTGTAGAATCTGAGAAGGGATCTTTGGGAGTGCATTGAGGCCCATAGTGAAAAACAAAATATCATCAAATAAAAACTAGAAAGAAGCTTGCTGAGTAACTGCTTTGTGATGTGTGCATTCATCTCACAGAGGTAAACTTTAATTTTGATTCAGCAGTTTGGAAACACATTGTCCATTCTGCGAATGGACATTTGGGAGCTCACTGATGCCCACAGCAAAACAGTGAATATTCCAGGATAAACACTAGAAGGAAGCTATCTCAGAAACCACTTTCTGAAATTTGCATTCATCTCACAGACATAAACATTTCTTTTCATTCAGCAGTTTGGAAAATCTTTTTTTTTTCTCCATTCTGTGAATGGACATTTGTAAGCTCATTGAGGCCAGCAGTGAAAAAGTGAATATCCCAGGATAAAAACTAGAAGGAAGCTATATGACAAACAGTTTGGTGATGTTTGCATTCATCTCACAGAGGTAAACCTTTCTTTCCATTCAACAGTTTGGAAACACTATTTTTGTAGAATCTGCATAGGGATATTTGGAGTGAATTGGGGCCTATGGTGAAAAAGAAAATATTTTCACTTAAAAACTAGAAAGAAGAAGCTTTCTGAGAATCTGCTTTGAGGTGTGTGAGTTCATTTCACAGAGTTAAACCTTTCTTTTGATTCAGCAGTTTGGAAAACCTTTTTTTGCCCATTCCTAAAATGGACATTTTGGAGCTCATTGAGGCCAAAGGTAAAAAAAGTGAATATCCCAGGATAAGAACTGGAAGGAAGCTATCTGATAAACCACTTTGTGATGTGTTCATTCATCTCTCAGTTAAACATTTCTTTTCATTCAGCATTTTGGAAACACTGTTTTTGTCCTTACTGTGAATGGACATTGGGGAGCAAATTGAGGCCAATAGCAAAAAAGTGAATGTCCCAGGATAAAAACTAGAATGAAGCTATCTGAGAAACTGATTTGTGATATGTGCATTCAACTGTCAGAGTTAAAGCTTCTTATTCATTCAGCAGTTAGGAAACACTTTTTTGTAAAATCTACGAAGGGATATCTGGGAGCTTATTGAGACCTATGGTGAAAAAGAAATTATCTTCAGATAAAAACTAGAAAGAAGCTTTCTGAGAAACGGCTTTGTAACATGTGCATTCATCTCAAAAAGTTAAAACTTTATTTTGATTCAGTAGTTTGCATACTCTGTTTTTGTACATTTTCCAAATGGAGATTTGGGAGCTCATTGGGGCCAATGGCAAAAAAGCGATAATCCCAGGAGAAAACCTAGAAGGAAGATATTGGAGAAACCTCTTTATGATGTGTGCATTCACCTGGCAGATTTAAACCTGTCTTTACATTTGGCAGTTAGGAAACAGTTTTTGTCCATTCTGTGAATGGACTTTTGGGAGCTCATTGAGGCCAATGGCAAAAATGCGTATATCCCAGGATAAAAACTGGAAGGAAGCTATCTGAGAAACCACTTTGTTATGTGTTCATTCATCTCACAGAGTTTAACCTTCCTTTTATTCAGCAGTTTGGAAACACTGTTTTGTAGGATCAGCAACTAGATATTTGGGAGCTCATTGAGGACAATGATGACAAAGAAAATAATTTCAGATTAAAATTAGAAAGAAGCATTCTGAGAAACTGCTTTGTGAGCTGTGCATTCATCTTACATACCTAAACCTTCCTTTTCATTCATCAGTTTGGAAACACTGTTTTTGTAGAATCTGCATAGGGGCATTTGGGAGCACGTTGAGGTCTATTGTGGAAAGGAAAATATCTTCACATAAAATCTAGAAAGAAATTTTCTGAGAAACTGCGTTGTGATTTGTCCATTAATCTGACACAGTTAAATTTTCTTTTTATTCAGCAGTGTGGGAACACTTTTTGTCTGATATGTGAATAGACATTTCGGAGCTCATTTTGTCAAATTTCAAAAAAGAGAATATCCCAGTATAAAAATTAGAAGGAAGCTATCTGAGAAACTGCTTTATGATGTGTGCATTCATCTTGCAGAGTTAAACCTTTCTTTTCATTCAGCAATTTTGAAACGCATTTTTTGTAGAATCTTGGAAGAGATATTTTACAGTGGATTGAGGCCAATGTTGATAAAGTAAATATCTTCAGATAAAAACTAGAAAGAAACTATCTGGGAAACTGCTTGTTGATGAAGGCATTTGTTTCACAGAGCTAAAACTTTTTTTATTCAGCAGTTTGGAAAGACTCTTTTTGTAAAACCTGTGAAGGCACATTAGGAAACATGTTGAGGCCTATCATGAAATAGAAAATATCTTCAGTTAAAAACTAGAGGGAAATTTTCTGAGATACTGTTTTGTGATGTGTGTATTCACCTCACAGAGTTAAACCATTCTTTTGTTTAAGCAGTTTGGAAACTAATTTTGTCCATTCTGTGAATGGATGATTAGGAGCTCATTGAGGCCAATGGTGGAAAAGAGAATATCCCATGATAAAAACTAGAAGGAAGCTACCTGAGAAACCGATGTGTGAAGTGTGCATTCATCTCACAGAGTTAAACCTTTCTTTTCATTCAGTAGTTTTGAAACACTGCTTTTGTGGAATGTGCAAAGGGATATTTCGGGGTCCACTGAGTCCTGTGGTGAAAAAGAAAATATCTTCAGATAAAAAATAGAAAGAAGCTTTCTGAGAAATACTTGGTGATCTTGGAATTCAGCTCAGAGAGGAAAATCTTTCCTTTGGTTCAGCAGTTTGGAAACACTGTTTTTGTCCATTCTGTGAATGGACATTTTGTAGCTCTTTGAGGCCAAAAGTGAAAAATGGAATATCCCAGGTTTAAAACTTGAAGGAAGCTATCTGAGAACCCGTTTTGTGATGTGTGCATTAATCTCACAGAGTTAAACCTTTCCTTTCATTCAGCATTTTGGAAATACTGTTTTGTCCATTCTGCAAACGGACATTTGGGAGCTCATTGGACCAATGGCAAAAAAGCGAATATCTCAGGACAAAAGCAAGAAGGAAGCTATCTGAGAAACTTCTTCCTGATGTGTGCATTCATCTCACAGAGTTGAATGTTTCTTTGTATTCAGCAGTTTGGGAACACTGTTTTTGTATAATTTGTGAAGGGATATTTGGGACTGCCTTAAGGCCTATGGTGAAAAAGAAAATATCTTCAGATAAAAACTAGAAAGAATCTTTATGAGAAACACATTTGTGATGAGTGCATTCATCTCATAGATTTAAACATTGTTTTGATTGAGCAGTATGGAAATACTGTTTTTGACCATTTTGTGAAAGGACATTTGGGAGCTCATTGTGGCCAATGGGTTTTCTGAAAAAGGGAATATCCCGTTATAAAAACTAGAAGGAAACTGAGAAACTGCTTTGTGATGTGTCCACTCATCTTGCAGAGTTAAACCTTTCTTTATATTCAGCAATTTGGAAACACAGTTTTTGTAGAATCTGGAAAGGGACATCTGGGCATGCATTGAGGCCTGTCATGAAAAAGAAAATATCTTCAAGTAAAAACTACAAGGAAAATTTCTGAGATACTGCTTTGGCTTGCATGCATTCATCCAACAGAGGTAAATCATTCTTTTGATTCAGCAGTTTCGAAGCAGTCTTTTTGCCCATTGTTTGAATGGACAGTTTGGAGCTCATTGAGGCCAATAGCAAAAAAGCGAATATGCCAAGAGAAAAACTAGAAGGAAGCTATCTGAGAAACTGCTTTGTTATGTGTGTATTCATGTCACAAGGTTAAACCTTTCTTTTCATTCAGCAGTTTGGAGACACTGTTTTTCTATAATATGTGAAGGAATATTTGGGAGCACATTGAGGTCTATGGTGAAAAAGAAAATATCTTCAGATAAAAAATAGAATGAAGCTTTCTGAGAAACTACTTTGTGATGTATGCATTCGTGTCACAGAGTTAAACCTTTCTTTTGATTCAGCAGTTTGCAAACACTGTTTTTGTCCATTCTGACAAAGGACATTTGGGAGCCCTTTGAGGCCAAAGGTGAAAAAGTGAATATCCCAGGATAAAAACTAGAGGAAGGTATCTGAGAAACTGCTTGGTGATAGAGGCATGCACTTCACAGAGTTAAATCTTTCTTTTCATTCAGCAGTTTGGAGACACTGTTTTTGTCCCTTCTGCAAATCAACAGTTGGGACGTCAATGAGCCCAAAAGCGAAAAAGCAAATATTCCAGGATAAACACCATGAGGAAGCTATCTGAGAAACTGCTTTGTGATGTGTGCACTCATCTGGCAGAGTAAAAACTTTCTTTTCATTCAGCAGTTTGGAAACACTGTTTTTGTCCATTCTGCAAATGGACATTTGGGAGCACATAATGACCAATAGCAAAAAAGCAAATATCCCAGGATAAAAACTAGAAGGAAGCTATATGGGAAACCACTTTGTGATGTGTACATTCATGTCTCATAGATAAATCTTTCTTTTGACTCAGCAGTTTACATACACTGTTTTTGTCCTTCCTGTGGATGACATTTTGGAGCTCATTGTGGCCAATTTCAATAAAGCAAATATCCCAGGATAAAAACTACAAAGAAGCTATCTGAGAAACCACTTTGTGATGTCTGCTTTCAATTTGCAGAGTTAAACCTTCATTTTCATTCAGCAGTTAGGAAACACAGTTTTTGTACAATCTGCAAAGCAATATTTGGGAACTTATTGAGACCTATGGTGAAAAAGAAAATATCTTCAGATAAAAACTAGAAAGAAATTTCCTGAGAAACTGATTTGTGATATGTGCATTCATCTCACAGACTTAAAATTTTCTTTTGATTCAACAGATTGGAAATGCTGTTTTTGTCCATTTGGAGAATGGATATTTTGATGCTCATTGAGGCCAATAGCAAAAAATTGAATATTCCAGAATAAAAACTAGTACGAAGCTCTCTGTGCAACTGCTTTGTGATATGTGCATTCATCTCACAGAGTTAAACGTGACTTTGCGTTCAGTAGGTTGGAAACACTCTTTTTGTAGATCTGCAAAGGGATATTTCAGAGCACACTGAGGCCTATGTTGAAAAATAAAATATCTTTAGATAAAAACTAGAAAGAAGCTATCTGAGAAACTGCTTTCTGATGTATACATTCATCTCACTGAGTTAAAGCTTTCTTATGATTCAGCAGTTTGGAAACACTCTTTTTGTCTATTCTGCGAATGGACATTTGGGAGGTAATTGAGACCAATGGCAAAAAAGCGAATATCTCAGGATAAAAACTAGAGGGAAGCTGTCTAAGAAACTGATTTGTGATATGGGCATTCATCTCACAGAGTTAAAACATTTCTTTGATTCAGCAGTTTGGAAACTGTATTTTTGTCCATTCTGCAAAAGGACTTTTGGGAGCTCACTGAGGCCAAAGGTGAGAAAGTGAATATCTCAAATGAAAACTAGAAGGAAGCTGTCTGAGAAGCCCCTTTTTGATGTGGGCATTCATTTCGTAGAGTTAACACTTTCTTTTAATTCAGCAGTTTGGAATCACTGTTTTTGTGGATTCTACGAAGGGATATCTGGGAATTCTTTGAGTCCTATGGTGAAAAAAGAATATATCTTCATATAAAAACTAGAGAGAAGTTTTCTGAGAAACTGCTTTGTGATTTCTGCATTCATCTCACAGAGTTAAACATTCCTTTTCACTCAGCAGTGTGGGAACACTGTTTTTGTCCATTCTGTGAATGGACGTTTTGGAGCTCTTTGAGGCCAATAGTGAAAAAGCAAATATCCCAGGATAAAAATTGAAGGAACCTATCTGAAAAATGGCTTTGTGGTGTGTGCATTCATCTCGCAGATTTAAACCTTTCTTTTCATTCAGCAGTTAGGAAACATTGTTTTTGTAGAATCTGTGAAGGGTGAAAAAGAAAATATCTTCATCTAAAACCTGGAAAGAAGCTTCCTTAGAAAATACTTTGTGATGTATGCCTTCATCTCACAGAGTTAAACCTTTCTTTTGATTCAGCAGTTTATTGATGCCGATGTTGAAAAAGATAATATCCCAGGATAAAAACTATAAGGAAGCTATGACATCTACCACTTTGTGATGTGTGCATACGTCTCACAGATTTAAACCTTTCTTTTGATTCAGCAGTTTGGAAACACTGTCTTTGTCCTTTTTGCGAATGGACATTTGGGAGCTCTTTGAGGCCAAAGGCGAAAAAGCGAGTATCCCAGGAGAAAAGCTAGAATGAAGCTATCTGAGGAACCACTTTGTGATGTGTGCATTCAACTCACAGATTTAAACCTTTCTTTTTATTCAGCAGTTAGGAAACACTGTTTTTGTAGAATCTGCAAAGGGATATTTTGTATCTTATTGAGGTCAATGGTGAAAAAGAAAATACCTTCAGATAAAAATTAGAAGGAAACTTTCTGAGAAACTGCTTTGTGATGTGTGAATTCATCTCACAGAGTTAAACTTTGCTTTTGATTCAGCTGTTTGGAAACACAGTTTTTGTCCATTGTGCAAAAGGACATTTGGGAGCTCATGGAAGTCAATGGCAAAAATGGGAATATTCCAGATGAAGCTGAGAAGCAAGCTATCTGAGAAACCCCTTTGTGATGTGTACAATCATCTC